>NT_187592.1:0-153456 GCF_000001405.40 Homo sapiens | reverse complement strand
AAACAGGCTTTTCACCTACAGGATTGTTCTGAGTGGAAGTTTGTCGTGGTGAGGTCTTCCCTGTAGTCTGGGGTCCTGACGCCCCTGGTCCTCACCCCCCAGGTGCTGGAAAGGCCCCACCCTTGCACTGTGAGTGTCCCAAATACTCCCTTCTTGAGCAAGACTAAGAGGCCCTAAGTCTCAGCCAGCTTGGCAGGAGCTTCACAAACATTGCTCCCATTCCCAAAATATTTCTCAACATTCACTGGATTTTTTTGCACTATTAAAACATATTTGAAAAATGCCTTGAATCTTGAGAAATTCAAATGCTTCATGGACGTGAGGGTGTAAACTAAGAGGGCCACGACACAGTGGTTCAACTGGCAGCTTTGCAGCCAGGTGCCTTTTTCTCAAATTCCTGCCGGACTGCTTACTGGCTATGCAAACCCATCTATAGAATCACAACAATACCCCCCGACCGCGTTCTTGGGATTAGATGAGAGAACCTGAGTAAAGGGCTTAGCATGGCACCTGCTCCCCGGAGTGCTCAGTGCATGTTAGTTATAACCAAACGTGTTTATTTCCTCTGAGTTGTTGACAACATGTATCTAATACAGAAAGCATCTCTAGCAGAGCTTTTAGCAAAAGTTCTTGTTTTGTTTCAATTGAACTGGATCCCACAACATCTCTGCAACCTGGCAGACACCTACAGCCTCTGAGACTGAGCTTTCATTAAGTTACAGACCAAGGTACACATGCTTTCTGTCTTTTGTGGAGGGGCAGAAAGAAGAGGGAGAGAGAAAGAGTGAGTGAGAAAAGAGAGAGAGACAGAGAGTATAAGGTTTATGATGAAGATGTGGCACATATTATGGAGGATGTGAGGAAATACAGTGTTTGTAGAAACTCATAAACCCTGCTCACATGAGAACTGTTAAGACAGTTCACAACCACATACAACCATGCACAACCATGTACAACCACTCACAGCCATACACAGTCCTTCAAAGCTGCATAACCAACCATGCACAACCATTCACAGATATTCATAACCATTCCCATCCATGTGCAGACATGCGCAATTGTGCACTTTCACAACCTTACAGCCATGCACAGCCATGTGCAACCATGCATATTCACAGCTATTCACAGTCATGCACAACCATGCACAATCATGTGCAACCACTCCCAGCTGTGCATAGCCATGCACAACCATGCACGTTCGCAACCGTTCACAGTCATACAAAACCATGCAAAGCCATGCACAACCAGGCACAGTCATGTGCAACTATGCACATTTACAACATTCACCGTCATGCACATGGAAGGCACAGCCATGTGGAACCATGCACAACCATGCACAACTATGTACAATCATTCCCAGCCATGCACAGACATGCACACCCATGCACATTCACAATCATTCACAGTAATACACAACCAAGCACAATCATGTACAACCACTCCCAGCCATGAACAGCTGTGCACAGCCTTTCACAGACATGCACAATCATGCACATTCACAATTGCCAGAAGCCAGGCACAGCCAAATGCAGACATTTACAACCGTTTAGACATGAACGACCACCTACAGCCATGCACAGCTGTGCACAACATCTGACACAGATCTGCAAAGAGAGCTACCAGCAAATGGAACACAAAGGTGCTACTCATGGTGAACAGTACTTGGGAGATGGTTTAAGGTAGTGACAGTTTCTGATCATAGTATTTAAGTGCTGGAAGAGGTGTTTTTTCTCAGCTCCTCATTTACAGATGAGAAAAACTAGGTTGTTCCTGAGAATGTGTGTATTTGTGGCGGGACAGGAGCTGGCGCTGGCTTGCTCAATGGAGCTGCTGCTGCCTCATCTGCACAGCGGGCCATCATGGGGTCACCAGAGCAGTGGCTCACTGCTGTGCTGGCTGCTTCAGCACATCTCGTGGGCCGGAGCCAGGGCCCAGGGCGCTGGAGAGCCTGTCTGGGAGGTGGCAGGAGGTCAGGCCCTGCTCTCAGGAGTTCTGTGAAGACATGCTGAGTGGATGGTGACACGCATGAGAGACACCCAAGAGGCACTTGAGACAGAGGGGCCGTGACATCCACAGGCTTCCTCCTCCACCCTACCCCAGCGCGCATGGCTCCTTGCGGCATGCAGAGGAAGGGAGGAGAGTTGAGTCCCTTCATGGGAGAGGCTGTGGATTCCTGAGGCTGCAGCCAGGAGGTCGGGACCAAGGGAAAGCACAAAGACTTCACTTATCTCAATGAACCCAAATCTGCCTGTGGTTTGTTCTCACGTGGGGCCTGAGCAGAAGAAGCTTCTCCCATGTAGTCTTGAATTTGGTGAAGTTAGAAAGACAACCAGAGCAAGTGTCAGTGAGAAGGCAAGGCCAGTCCTGCCATCAGGCAGGGTGGCTCCAGGGCCACCTCTTTCATGAAGCCTCCCTTGTTCCAGAGCTGGAAGTGAGTACCGTATTCTCCATTCATTTAAAAAACGCACACGTGTTTGCATATGTGTGAGGGAGACAAACACCTGCGGGGCTTCAGAGAAGGGTGCTGACCACATCTGCGGGAGTCTACAGGTGCTCGTACCAAGGGGGGTGCCTGTCTCACCACTGCGCTACTGGGCTCGAGTCTTCGGGGCTACAGCCCGGGAACCCGCATCACTAACAAGCTGGCGGGCTTGTGAGGACCTCAGGGTTCACGGCCTCTTCTTTGTTATTTTCCCACCACAAACAGAAATTTGCAAACACCCTCACTAGACTCTAAGCTCCTTGAGGACAACAGTCACCTTCTATTCCTCTTTGCACTGGAGAGGAATGTAGGAAATGTAGGAAATGGAGTCACCTTCTAGTCCTCTTTGCCCTGGAGCACACCTCCCAGCAGAGCTGTGGGCTTGTGGAAGAGGATCATTAAACACTGCTGAGCTCCGGCTCTTAAAGGTGGCCCCGGGATCTGAGCAGGCCCATTGGCTTGTTTTGTTTGGCTTGTCTGCTACTCAAAAAAGACAAGATTTCACACAAAAATTCATCTTCCCATCCATTCTCAAAAAATCTGAAGAGCAATCATGCAGAGCCCACTCACCTGAGAAGGAAGACAAATTCTCAGAGTCCTCTTGAAATCTTATCAATAAAACTCACAGGCATCATTCAACTCTGTGGCACAGAGTCTGTCTAAAAAATGGGGTTGCATAATTTGGCCACAATTTTCTTCATGTTACTCCCTGAAGGTCTTAGAATTCTGGGGCGGTGGCTTCCCCCTGCTGATTGGCCCACGTGCGGTTTCTGTTGGTTTCTTGGTTTGTTTCAGGATCGGGTCCAGGTTTTCCACTCTCCAGCACCACCCTCTTGCCAGCCGTTGGCCAGTGCCGACTGTGCACCTGCTCCAAGTCCTGCTGGAGGTGCCTTCGAGGACAGGTTAATGAGCACAGCACCTCCTGGGCATCTTGTGAAATCACAGCTTCACACTCAGCAGGCCCCGGGCAGGCCTGAGACTCTGTATCCCAAACAGGCCCCCAGGTGGGTGTGAGGCTGCTGGTCAAGGACTTCGCCTTAAAGGTCAGAACGATGAAAGTCATGTCTCTTCCTCACTGAAGCTCACTGGGAAACCAGGACTTCAAAAGAGACACACAGAAAAAGAATTCCCAGCAGGGGACAGTCACACTCAAGGCCAGCCAGTGGCACCTGCCCCAGGTGTTCTCATCCGGGGCTCATACACTGACATCCTTGTGGGTGGCCCAGGGGTGAGAGGGACAGAGGGGAAGGCTCATGCCAGGCTAGGCGGGGGCTGCATTGGCTGCCAGGCCTGTGGCCAAAGAAGGAATCACAGAGATGGGGCTCCAGGCATTGTTCCCTGGTGAGTGGGCTCTGCATGGTTGCTCTTCAGATTTTTTGAGAATGGATGGGAAGCTGGATTTTTATGTGAAATCTTGTCTTTTCTGAGTAGTAGGCAAGCCAAATAAAACAGGCCAATGGGCCTGCTCAGATCCTGGGGCCACCCTTAGGGGCTGAGAATATTTGCAAAGTTTGGAGCATCAGTGGCTGTGTTTTTGTCTGTCACCAGAACCACAGAATGTCTGCCTGAGACCCAGTGCATGCACGGAGCCTCAGGGGACAAATAGCCAAGGAGGCCGACATGGGGTAGGCTGAGACCAGGAGTGTCCCTGGCATGGGGACAGGGAAAGGGGTCCCGGAAGCAGGGTCACTTTTTCCTACATTTGAAAACCTCCCGTCCCTGTGGCTTCCATTCACACAGGGCCAGCTGAGCTGTGCCTGATGCCTCCGAGAAGGCAAAGTGATTTCCAGTGAATCCCAGAAAGGTGAGATGACGGCTGTGCGCTTGACCTTAACAAAAGAATGCGCTCGGCCTCACAAAAGCGGTGGAAGTTTGCTAGTTCAGAATTTATCCATTTCCTGTCTGAGTGGCAAAGGACAAGTACATAGATTGTTTTCCAGATTAGATTTTTTAAGGTGCACTGTTCAGATTCCTTAATGATTGCAGCGCCTGAGTCACTGAAACAGACGATATTCTAACATTGCCCTCCGAAGTCCTGGAAGATCATCAGACTAAAGGTGTAACTCGAATATGTAAAATAGTTACATTGTTTCATAATTTGCTGTATATTTCTAAGTTATTTCTACCTGCAACTTTTACTAAAATATACAGCAAATGATGAAACAGAATATGTAAAATAGTTACAGTTGTTATTCATTTCCCCGCTACTGTAAATATGACCCTTGGGCTCTGTAGAAATGCTCTGTGAACAGACACCTTCTACTAGAGCCATAGAAAATGATACTGTGGATCCGCTCACATAAAATCCGCAGGGGTTGAATGTCTGGCTGGAATTACGTGCTGTGGGTCTATGAAGAAAGAGATGGCTACTGTTAACACCATGGTAAAAGAAGTAAAGAACATGTTTCCTTTAACATCTGTAGTAAAAGAGGATTGTGTTCTGTAGAAGAGAAAATACACCTAGATAAGGGTAATTTATTTTTAAAATTCTTAGTTTTGTAACATGAGTACCAGTAGCTGTACCTGATATACAATAATTATACCCATTGGTGCTATTTTGTGTTACTTCCTTTTGAACAGGAACTAAAGAATGCTTTTTACTATGTCAACACATTTTAAATAATGACATATTACCTTTAATTTTCCCATTTGAATTTAAGGTTTTCTTTTGATCAACATTGATTTGTCAGTTATTTCTACATGCAACTTTTACTAAAATATACAGCAAATTATGAAACAGCTTCACAGCCTCAGTTTAGCTGTCACTGACGTCGTTCCTCTGTCAGTAATGGCCGCAAATCGCACAGGGTCTGTCTCGGCACCTTATTTTTATTTATAAATTCCACTTCATTATTGCAACAAGACACTGCAGGTAGTGCATTTGTATGGAAAGACCGCCTCTCCTTCTGGTGAAAGTCTCTGAGCCTTTAGCCTGAGAGTGCAGGATACCCCCCGATGTGCTCGGTAATCGCCCACATTTGCAGGGCACGCTAGGGCTTCTGCCTTCCTAGCATTTAGTGTGATCGTTTTAAGGAAAAAAGAACTATAATAAAAATTATGTGCTGGGGAGAAAAACTCAAAAAGGAATGAACTATGAAATAATGTAATTGTCTATAGGGTCTCGAACTTTTGTTTTTGATATGCAGAAAATGTTAAGAAGTTATTTTATCTTGCCGCAGATGCTCTCAAGGGAGATATTAAAGACAGACTTTGACAGGGCCTTTTGGCTGGGTGCATCCTGGAGGCCTGGGGCTGACTTCTTAAAAGGGTTAAGCTGCTGTGTTCGCATTGAATTACCACTGTCATCCAATTCATTAGGAGAGTTTATGGAGTTACAATCTGTCTGTAATTTATAGCCTGCTTACTGACAAAGCTTAACGCTAACATATGCCTAATTTGCCGAGGTTATCTCAAGTTCTATTCATCTCCCCCACTAACAATATGCCTCTGATTCCATGCTGCATGGATGAGGTACATGCGGTTTCATATTTAGTGCTATCAATCACAGGCAATTGCCGGCAGCTCCCGCCTCGGGGCTCAGAGTGATTTCCCCACGGCTCCTGATGACTGATGAGAGGGCGGCTCGGCCAGGGGAGGGCGTTGCTTGAAGCCTCCCTGGAGCGGCAACGGTCCAGCAGAGGCTGTTCGAGGCTCGGCAACTGCTCTGAACCTGCCTTGCCGGCGTCCTCTCTCTGGGGAGCTGGCAGATGTGATCTGGAGAGCCTCAGGGGCATCCGGTGGAGGCAACTCGTAGCCCTGCCTGAATGGCCTGACACCACCACACCAATGTCTGGTGGAGGAGGTGTTCACGGGCTCAGGTAAATGCTGCCCTCATTGCCCTCATCAGACACATCACAGCGCAGGGACATGAGAAAGGCCTGGTGCAGTCGAGTTTCTAAGCTTCAGTGTGTGGGGCTTTGCCCGGCCCACCTCGCAGCTGCATGCCCAGCCCTCTGCTGAACACCTTCCATCTAAGCTTAGTGCCGGGCGCCCGCCCAGAGCACAGCTCTCCTGGGCTCCTCTCCTTCTCCCTTGAGGAGTGACCTTGCCCAAATGTTTGATCACCTTGTGAATTTCTTGATGAAAAGTAGCCACTGCTTGATAGGAGAACTACATAATGAATATGGTTGTTTAGTTCTCAGCATGTGAAAAGAATACAAAACTGTATTGTGTATCTCTGAAGCTGATATTCTAGAAACATCACAGTGTTAGCTACAGAGCGTGTGGGACCCTTAGTGTACCTGATAGGCATTGACTCTGAACCGTGCTCTGAACTCCTGCCCCTCGACTGCAGCCTTGGGGGTCCCAGGCAGGGAACAGAGGTTTGTGTAGCTGCATTATCCAAATGTCAAAACTTAAAAGTCTAGCCTATGAGTGACATGGGATTGATCCCACACACAGAAGCAAATAGTTCTAGCAAGTCCTAAACTTGCTGGGGAGACAGCAACCTGATTGAATGAGGACATGAACTTTTGTACGGGAGGCCAGCAGCAGTAGTCATGAAAGAAGAACTCACTGGGAAGAGGCTTTCTAGTCAAAGGCAGACGCACCTGCTTCCAGCACAGGGGCCGTGATTTCAGTGTCTTTGTAGAATTTGCTACTAATTTCACCACAGAGACCCCGGGCAGGCCTGATGTGGCCTATGTACATTCCCTCCAGATGAGGGACCTCTGTTCATTTTCACAGCCCCCAATTCCTTGGGTCAGAATTTTCTTTCTGCATTCCTTAATTAGATCCTTACTGATAGTTAACAACAACAACAACTGAAGCCAGAGGCTGCGGAGGGCAGGGTGGTGGGGGGCGGGGGAAGTGAGGAGATGTCCTTTACGGGGTGCAGAGTTTCAATTTTGGGAAATGAAAGAGTTCTAGAGATCTTACACGACAGTGTGCATGTACTTGACACCGTGGCACTGGACCCTGAAAAATGGTTAAAATGGTAAATTTTAATATATGCGTTTTTTACCATAATTAAAAAAAAAACCCAGAAGTCTAGACGACCAACTCACAGGATACTGTTTATGATGTCATTGCAACCATCTCCTGGAAACAAGTGGAACCCGCGGACTCAGGCTAGGGGTTCAAATCTCCTCTCAGGGCTGGGGGTTCAAATCTCCTCACAGTAAAGGCAAAGCTCACATGTTGACAGCCTGTCAGGGGAGGTGAGGGGCACGCGTCGTGAACAACAGAAAAGACTTTTTACATAAGTCTTTTTGCTCAGAAGTTAGAGGAATTTAAACATTTTTTTTCTTGCACCATTGATTCAGAAGGCAGAGGGGCTACTAGGCCAATTTTGCCGCGTTCTTCAGAGCGACAGACAAGGAAGAGGCAGGAGCTGAGACCTCACCGTGGTAACAGCTATTTCCCTTCTGGTTTACTTCCTGGCTGATTACCCAGGGTCGAGTCCCTTTCAGAGCTGGTAACGAGACACATCGCTGGTACTTTCCCAAATCTGTTTACCATCTTTTGGACTCCGTAATGTGAGGACGACCCTCCAGAGCAGCTTGCCCGTACAACATTTTCTCTTGGTTCGCAGCCAGTAGTGGCAGAGTCTGATTGTTCTTCAGATTACGGGATTACCAACTCATCCCTGGAGAGTTAATTCAGTAAGATTTTTGCTTATGTCAGAATCCTAGGTACACGCAGGGAGCGTCATCTTGTGCTTTTTCTAACCTGAGGCTAAGAAATGCTGTCTCGTCTGCACATTGGCGTTTTTGGGATAGCAGAGGGAAAAGGCAGAGAAGAACTGTCTGAGCCTCACTGAGCCCTGATGCAGGGATCTCGTCACTAGAAGCAGAGAGATGAGTGTGCGCGCTTGTTCTAGCCCGTATTTTGGAAGTCTGAGCACTAAGAGTTAGACAAAGGAAAGGCATGCTTCGCAGGGGCCTCCATGGCCATGGAGGTCACATTGTCTCTGAATTGTCAACGAGAGAAATCCCTAGAAAAACGTGCACAAACGAAGGATGAAAACGATGGTCTGGCATGGGGTGAGGAGGTGATTCCTTCGCCAGCCCATGTGCGAACTCCCCCTGCTTTCAGGACAGGGACGTGGTCTCCACGGAGAGAAGCATGGGCGTGGGCTGTGCCATCTGAGAAACGGGCGGAGGCGCTGAAGGGCCGCAGCCCTGGCCGTATGCACCCCTAGGGGACAGCTATTTATTAATAAGCTCCCCCGAGCCCTGGACAGAGAGGAGGGTGACGGCGAGGACACGCCGCGCTGGGGCTGTTTGGGGGGCGGCCAGCATGCGGCAGCCACCATTTACTGAGCACCTTTGGAGACGAGGCCCTGTGTTCGGTCCTTCATCCTGCAGAAGGATCCTGAGATGAGCATGGGTTTGGCTGCAGAGGCGCCTGCCCAGGGCTGGCTCGGAGACCACTGGGATATAAGGTCGACTTCATCCCGTTCCCCGGACCGGTTAGATAGAAAGGTACTCAAATTCTTTTACCAGATGTATTTTTAATTACGAAAGTAACACAAGCTTTTGAAGTGATGCATCCTTACTTGGAAACACCCTCTGTTAAGAAGAGGGAAAATGAATGATTCCTTTCCACTCCCAAAGCTGCACGTGAAGCGTTTGTCCTGTCTTGTTTTATTCCCACTTTCCGGGCGGCAGAAGGGGCGTCTCCCGTGGGCGCCTGGCTAGCACCTGCCCTGTGCGTGGGGAGTCCCCGGAGGGCGCGCGGTGGGCTCGGGTCCCCTCCCCGTCCCTCCCCGGCCTGGCCCCGCGGGCCCAGGGGCGCTGCTGTCGGCTTCCTCCCCCGCAGACCCCGGCCTGCCCCGTGGACTCGCCTCACTCACGCGGACCCCATCCGCCCTGGGCAGGGCCTAGGACGCAGCGTCTTGGGGGCAGACCCGGGCCACGCCGCGACGTCCCTGGATTCCCGGGAGGCTGGGGCTGCCGCCCCCCCGAGTAAGGCCCCGACTGAGCGTCCGGGGTGTGGCCGGTGATCCCCGCGTCTCCCCCGCGCAGGCGGCTCTTCCTGCACCAGGTCCCGGGACCTTGGGCTCTCGGGCATCGCTGCCCGCCTGGAAGGGAAGGTGGTCTTCAGGCCCGCCCGGAGGGAGGACGCTGTTTAATCTGCGTTTTCATTAGTCCCAACCTAGGCTCGAAGGCTGCTTCTCACGCCGAGGGCAGGTGGAGGGGGGGCTTCGGAATAAGTCTCTGAAAGCGTGGCTACTAGGCATCCATGGCCGCTTACGCAGAGACCCCCCCAGACATGAGCCAGTGCCTGGAGCCGCCCGTGGCTGCTGTTGGAGATTGCCCCGGTGCTTGGCTTAAAACTGAAATTCCTTCCCTCAAAGTTCTGGGGTCAGAAGTCAGAAATCCAGGCGTCTCAGGGCCCCACTCCCTCCGGGGGGCCAGGGAGGGTCCTTCCTGCCCCTTCCAGCCTCCTGTGGCGCGGGAGCTCCTTGGCTTGCTCTGCATCGCGCTGGTCTCTGCCTCGTTTTTCTCGCGGCCACACTGTGCTGTGCTTTCACTTCCCGTGTCTCTTAGAAGGACACCTGGCGTTGGATGCGGGGCCCGCCCTAATCTAGGACAATCTCCTTTCCAGGTCCTTAGCTACATCTGCAGAGAAGCCTTCCCCAGACACGGTCTCCTTCTTAGGGTCTGGGGCTTAGGACCACTGCCCAACCCCCTCCTCTAGTTTAATCCTGATCACACCAGGAAAGGGTGGGACTGTTCCCATTTTGCAGCGAGGAAAGTGAGACCTCATGAGGTCAGGACACTTTCGTGGTAGCGAGAATTGATGAGGACAGGGCTGGGTCTGTGGCAGGGGCCAGCGCGGCGCCGTGGGGCTCTGTCCCTTGCTTTTCTTTTGGTTTTCACAGCGACATTTCAAATGGGTTTTGAATTCAGGTGAAGATCTGGCATCACCCTGGAGCAGCATTCTCAATCCCGGCCGCCCCTGGCCGCACACAGGACACAGCTGTGACATTAGACTTCACACAGGCTGACTGGGGGGCCTGAGAGCCGGGTCCAGGCTCTGGGCTGGGCTCTGAGGAGCAGGGGTTTCGGCGAATCCCGAATGAGCAGCACCCTGAGCACCGTTGTCCTAGAAATTACAAAATAGACAGAAATCAGTTGATTTCCCAGTTATTTTCCTTCTAATCACTATGGTTCTTTAACAATCATGAAACCGTTCTCAGATTTTGGTACAAGAAAACATACATAGGCTTTGAGAGTTTCTTACACTTAAGCCACAGTCCTTCCCATCTGCGGTTTTGCTTTCTGTGTTTCATTTACCCAAGGCCAAGTGTGGTCTGAAAACCGGTTACTATAGTGCAATAAGGTATCAGGGGGAGAAAGAGAGAGAGAGAGAGGCGGGGGGAGAGGGAGAGGGAAAGAGAGAGAGAGAGAGGGAGAGAGGGAGAGAGAGAGAGAGAGGGAGAGAGAGAAAGAGGGAGGGAGAGAGAGAGGGAGAGAGGGAGAGAGAGGGAGGGAGAGACAGGCAGAGGGAGAGAGAGGGAGAGAGAGGGAGGGAGAGGGAGAGAGAGAGAGGGAGAGGGAGAGAGAGAAGGAGAGGGGGAGGGGGGGGAGAGAGAGAGAGAACATGCACATTCACATAACTTTTATTGCAGTAGATTGCTATAACTGTTCTAGTTTGTTATTAGCCATTGTTGTTAATCTCTTACCGTGCCTAATGTATACATTAAACTTTATCGTGAGTATACAGGTATAGGAAAAAACAGTACATACAGGCATACCTCAGAGATATTGCAGGTTCAGTTCTAGACCACTGCAATAAAGAGAATATTGCAATAAAGTGACTCACACAAACTTTTTGGTTTCCTGGTGCATATAAAGTTTACACTGTACTGTAGCCTATTAAGTGTGCAGTAGCATTCTGTCTAAAAACAATGTGCAATCCTTAATTGAAAAATACTTTACTGCTAAAAAATGCTAACAATCATCCGGACCTTCAGCAAGTTGTAATCTTTGCTGTTGGAGGGTCTTGCCTCAATATGGGTGGCTGCTGACTGACCAGGGTGGTGATTGCCGAAGGATGGGGCAGCTGTGACAATTTCTTAAAATAAGACAGTGAAGGTCGCCACGTTGATGGACTCCTCCCTTCATCAAAGTTTTCTCTGTGGCATGTAATGCTATTTGATAGCATTTTACCCACAGTAGAACTTTCAAAATTGGAGTCAGTCCTCTCAAACCTTGCCAATGCTTTATCAACTAAGTTTATGTAATATTCTAAATTCTTTGTTGTCATTTCAACAATGTTCACAGCATCTTCACCAGTTCATCTCAAGAACCCACTTTCTTTGCTTATCCATGAGGAAGAACTCCTCATCCATTTACGTTTTCTCATGAAGGTGCAGCAGTTCAGCTACATCTCCAGGCCCCACTTCCAATTCTAGTTCTCTTGCTGTTCCCACCTCATCTGCAGTTCCTTCTTCCAGTGATGTCATTAACCCCTCAAAGTCACCTATGAAGGTTGGAATCAACTTCTTCCAAACTCCTGTTAATGCTGACATTTTGGTTTCAAATTTCACTTCACCAATGTTCTTAGTAGCATCTAGAATGGTGCAACCTTTCCAGAAGGTTTTCAATTTACTTTGTGCAGACCCATCAGAGGAATCACTCTCTCTGGCAGCTATAGCCTTACAAAATGCATTTTCAAAAAAAAAAAAAAAGACCTGAAAGTCAAAATCACTCCTTGATCCATGGGCTGCAGAATGGATGTTTTGTTAGCAGGCATGAAAACAATATTCATCTCCTTGTACATCTCCATTGGCACTCTTGGGTGACCAGATGCACTATCAATGAGCAGTAATATTTTAAAATAAGTCTTTTTTTTGTCCAAGCAGTGGGTCTCTACAGTGGGCTTAAAATATTCAGTAAACCATGCTGTAAACAGATATGCGGTTATCCAGGCTTTGTTATTCCATTGATAGAGCATAGGTAGAGTAGATTTAGCATAATTTTTAACGGCCTTAGGATTTTTGAAGTGGTCAATGAGCATTAGCTTCAACTTAAAGTCACCAGTTGCATTAAAGTCACTGGTTGCATTAGCTCCTTACAAGAGAGTCAGCTTGTGATTTGTAGCTTTGAAGGAAGGCACTGACGTCTCCTCTCTAGCTATGAAAGTCCTAGATGGCATCTTCTTGCAACAGAAGGCTGTTTCTTCTATGTTGAAAATCTGTTGTTATTGTGGCCACCTGCATCAGTGACCTCAGCTGGGGCTTCTGGAGAACTTGCTGCAGCTTCTCCATCAGCACTTGCTGCTTCACCTTGCACTTTTATGTTATGGAGACGGCTTCTTTCTTTCAACCTCATGAACTAAACTCCTGCTAGCTTCCAACTTTTCTTCTGCAGCTTCCTCACCTCTCTCAGTCTCCACAACTCTCTTCACTGAAGAGAGTTGGGGGGTTGCTCTGGATTAGGCTGTGGCTTAAGGGAATATTGTGCTGGTTTCATCTCCTGTCCAGACCACTCATACTTTCTTCACATCAGCAATAAGGCTGTTTCACTTTCTCATCATTTGTGTGCTCACTGGAGTAGCACTTTTAATTCTGTTCAATAATTTTTTCTTTGCATTTGCAACTTGGCTATTTGGTGCAAGATGCCTAGGTTTTGGCATCTCAGCAATTGACATGCCTTCCTCCTTCAGCTAATCATTTCTAGCTTTTGATTAAAGTGAGATATGTGCGACTCTTTCTTTTACTGGAACACTTAGAGGCCATTGTAAGGTTCTTAACTGGCCTAATTTCAATATTGTTGTGTCTCAGGGAATAGAGAGGACTGAAGAGAAGGAGGGAGGTGGGGAGACGATTGGTTGATGGAATAGTCAGAACATACAATGTTTCTCCGTGAAGTTCACTGTCTTATATGGGCACTGTTTGTGGCACCTTAAAACAATTACAATAGTAACATCAAAGGTCACTGATCACAGACTACCATAACAGATGGAATAATGATGAAAACTTTAAAATATTGTGAAAATACAAAAATGTGCCACAGGGTCATGAAGTGAGCACCTGCTGCTGGAAAAATCGTGTTGTCAGTCTTGTTCACCGCAAGGTTGTCACAAATCTTCAACCTGTAAAAAACAAATAAACAAAACCCCACAGTATCTGGAAAGCACAATAAAGTGAGGTACAATAAAATGAGGTGTGCCTGCACGGGGTTCCGAAGGAGCTTCGTCTTCAGGCATCCACTGGGGTCTTGCAGTGAGTCCCCATGAATAAGAGGGGATGCTGGACACAGACAGGTGCCATGGAGCCACACAGCACTGGGAGAAGATAAGGTGGGTTTCGGGTTTGAATTCTCATTCAGTCACTTCCTGGCTTTTGGATGCTGGACTTTGCAAGTCGCCAGATCTGTCTTGACCCATAAATTGGAGACAGCACCGTTTTCCTTGATGAGTCTCCATGGTGGCAGACAGATGCCACCAGCACTGCCCTGACACACTCCCCCAGCCCCCACTGGTGATGCTCATCACCCATTCTTCGCTCCAGGGACTGAGCACTGCCCTGGCACATGCCCCCAGCCCCCACCGGTGATGCCCATCACACATTCTTCATTTCAGGGACTGCGCTTATCCTTAGTGGGTTTTCTCTTCTAAAATTGTCTAGTCTTTGAATTATTTTTTTTAATTTAAAACTTTTTATTTTATTTTATTTTAGTGTTGACATTTTATCAGTTTGAGTGAACTGCAGAAATCTTACATTTCTGTAAGTTCATTATCACCTCCTGCCTTTGTAAAATCATTGTTTTGCAATTTCCTACACATACATTGGGAATCACAGCATGATTATTTTTGCTCAAACTTTCAAACAAAGTTTAGAAAGCTCAGGAGGAGGCTGGGGGCAGTAGCTCATGCCTGTAATCCCAGCACTTCGGGAGGCCAAGGTGGGTGGACTGCTTGAGGTCAGGAGTTTGAGACCAACCAGGCCAACATGGCTAAATCCTGTCTCCACTAAAAATACAAAAATTAGCCGGGCATGGTGATGGGCGCCTGTAATCCCAGCTACTTGGGAGACTGAGGCAGGAGAATTGCTTGAATCTGGGAGGCAGAGGTTGCAGTGAGCTGAGATCACACCATTGCACTCCAGCCTGGGCAACAAGAGCAAAACTCTATCTCAAACAACAACAACAACATCAACAACAACAACAACAATAAAAAACCAAAAAACAAACAAAAAACCTCAAAAACCTCAGGAGGAGGAGGAAGGTCTGTTGTCTCCACCAGCATTTCCTTTCTTTCTGTCGCTGTTCCTTCCTTCCTCACCTTTAGAGATTCCCTTTTCCATCATTTCCCTTCTGTTTAGAGAACTTCCTCTCTCCATTGTTTTAAGACAGGTCTGATTGTGATAAATTTTCTCCATTTTTCTTCATCAGAGAATGTCATGATTTTCCCTTAAGTCTTGAGGAAATCTTTGCTGCATATAGTATTCTGGGCTGATAGTTCTTTTCTTTCAGCCCTTGAAGAATTTGTGCCCTATTGGGACTAGTCTCTAGGGTTTCTGATGAGAAATTTGCTATCTTTTGTATTTTTTTTCCCTATGAGTGATGCCTCCTTTCTCTCTGGCTGCTTTTGGGAGTTTTTCATTGCCTGCAGCTTCTGAAGTTTGACTGGGATACGGGCTGTGCCTTGGCTTTGCTCAGGTTCTTGATTCTGAAGTGTATGATTTTTGCCAAATTTGGGAAATTTTCTTCCATTATTTTTTTAGATACTTTTCCAGCCTCGTCCTCATTCTCCTCTTCTTCTGGGGTTCCAACAACACGAATGTTAGGTTGTTGTTTTACTTCCAAGATACTGGAGGCATTTTATTCTTTTTTTTTTTTTTAACCTGTCTTCTCTCTGCTGGTCAGATTGGGTAATTTCTACTGTTCCATCCTCAAGTTCATTGGCTATTTCCTCTGTCTTCTACATTCTTGTGTTGAGCCCATCCAGCAGGTTATTTTATTTGCATTATCATACTTTTCAGTTCTAACATTTCCATTTGGTTCTTTGCTGTATCTTCTGTTTCTTTGCTGATGCTTTCTATTTTCACATATGTTTCCAGCAGGTTTGTAATTGTGACAATTGCTTGTTTGATAGTTCCAGCATCTGTGCCACGTCAGAGTTGGTGTCTGTTGCTTGTCTTTTCTCATTTAAGTTGAGATTTTCCAGATTCTTAGTATGATGAGTGGTTTTCATTTTATTTTATTTTTAGTTCTGGGGTACAATGTGCAGGGTGTGCAGGTTTGTTACATAGGTAAATGTGTGCCATGGTGGTTTGTTGCACCTATCAACCCATCATCTAGGTATTAAGCCCAGAATGTGTTAGCTATTTTTCTTGATGCTCTCCCTCCCTCTGCCCCCACCACAGGCCCTGGTGTGTGTTGTTCCTCTCTCTCTGTCCATGTGCTCTCATTGTTCAGCTCCCACTTGTAAGTGAGAATATGTGGTGTTTGGTTTTCTGTTCCTGTGTTAGTTTGCTGAAGATAATGGCTTCCAGCTTCATCCATGTTCCTGCAAAGGACATGAACCCATCCTTTTTATGGCTGTGCAGTATTCCATGGTGTGTATGTACCACATTTTCTTTGTCTAGTCTATCATTGATGGGCACTTGGATTGATTCCATGTCTTTGCTATTGTGAATAGTGCTGCAATGAACATACACATGCATATGTCTTTATAATAGACTGATTTATATTCCTTTGAGTATATACCCAGTAATGAGATTGCTGGGTCAAACGGTATTTCTGGCTCTGGGTCTTTGAGGAATCACCAGATGATGATTTTTAATTGTATCTCAACATCTTCAGTATCACACCACGTTCTTATGTTCACCTTCTGCTTCAGCAGGTCTCCTCTGACAGCACACCATCAGGAGAGGAGGCTGTTGCCTCATTACTGTCAATTAGCCATAGAAGTCTGGGTTCCTCCACAGGTGCCCTGACACCTGGGGTGTTGGGAGGTGCCTTCTGAGTGCAGGGGGTGGAGGTCAGACTCTCCATCAGGTCTCTGCTGATCCACCCATCAGGAGTGTGGGCGGGGCCACAACCTCTCCTCTGGTGCTTGGCTGGAGGAGGCCATTGTTGTTGAAAAATTTTCCTTCCTGCTAAGTTGCTCCATTCCTTTGACCTAGAGAGAGAACTGGCTTTTCTTTGGCCTTTTGTTGGGTCTGTGTCTGTTAGTGTTTCTGCGTGGCTGGACTCTCCAGGCCTCAGTGAGGATAAAGAAAATGCTACATGTTTCCTCAGGTCCTGCTGTCTCTAGTCCGTCTGCCTTCTCGAATTTTCACAGCTTTTTCTTGAGTGTTTGATGTATAATACATACAGTTCTAGCTGTTCTTAGTGAGGGGAATAGAGAGAAATGGACCTACTTCATGTTGTCTGGAACCAGAAGTTCCTTAATCTGGTTTTGTGGCCGATGTGCAAAACATCATTTATCTCCTTCAGCTGTGTGCAGCTCACCTGCACCACATTGGAGGCCCCGGTGCCGTTCCCTGCCATGGTTCTCACCAAGGAGCTGCTTGAGCATCCTTCTGAGAGCCAGGCCAAAGCTTCTGGGCCCACAGGATGGTGGTGTTTCGGTGCTGGGTTGAAAGAGGCACACAGAGGAGGCGGTGATCTTGATGGTGGCAGCTTTTCTGGATCTCATTCCAAAGGCTCTCCAGCTTCCAGGGGAAGTAATTCTCCAACGCGTGCCCGAATCCTGGCCTGCCTCTGGCGTGGGGTGGCTTCACAGCACGGATGTGGGAGGGTGGAGCTGCTGTTCTCAAGTGGCCTAGTCTCTGGGCAACTTTGCGCTCTTAATGTGCTTACAATAATAACTACGAAAACTGAGAAATTTAAAATATTAAATACATTTTGTGTAAACCTAGCATATTTTTATTAAAAGTGATATTTTCCAAATACAAAAAATTTAATGAGAAGAGTGGTCTTGGTGTGTGTGCCTTTGCCAATCTCTTTCATGCCTGGCTTAGCAGGAGTCAGTGGATTCTCACATCTCTTTCTGGTGGAAGTGGATGAAGATAATTCCATTCTCTCAGATACACAGTTGGTAAGAGGAGTCTTTTAATGGCCTTTTCAGTTACATGTGGATCTTCTTTGATGATACACCAATTAGGCAGTTTATTTAAGGTTAGTTATGACATGGGAATCCAAAGATATAGCCATGCGTTGCTTAACCGCGGGGCGATTTCTGAGAAATGTGTTGTTAGGCAATTTCATCACTGTGTGGACATCTGGAGCAAGCTTGTCCAACCCATGGCCCATGGGCCGCATGTGGCCCAGGATGGCTTTGAATGTGGCCCAACACAAATTCGTAAACTTTCTTAAAACAGTATGAGATTTTTTTTTTTTAGCTCATCAGCTATCATTAGTGTTGGTGAATTTTACATGTGACCCAAGACAATTCTTGCAATGTGGCCCAAGGAAGCCAAGAGATTGAACACCCCTGATGTAGAGCGTGCTGACTCAAACCTAGATGGTAGCACCTGCTGCACACCTCAGCTCTATGGTGCAGCCTCTGACTCCTAGGCTACAAACCTGCACAGTGTGTGACTCTACTGAACACTGTAGGCAACTCCAACACAATGGTAAGCCCTTATGTGTCTAAATATATCTAAACATAGAAAAAATACAGTGAAAATACAGTACAAAAGATAAAAACGGGCACACCTACACAGGGCACCTCCCACGAATGGAGCTGCGGGACTGGAAGTTGCTCTGGGTGAGTCAGGGAGTGGGTGGGGACTGGCTGTGAAGGCCTCGGACATGACTGCGCTCTACGGGTGACTCACAAACGCTGTACCCTTCGGTGCACTACACTGACCAAAAATAGTTTTCTTCTTTAAATCATACGTTAACCTTAGCTTACTATGACTTTTTTTACTTTTATAAACTTTTAATTTTTTGACTCTTATAATAACACTCAGCTTAAAACACACATTGTACAGCTGTACAAAAATATTTTCTTTGTATCTTTATTCTATATGCTTTTCTTCTATTTTTAATTTTTTACTTAAAAAATTTTTTTTTTGTTAAAAACAAAAATACAAACACACACATTAGCCTCGGCCGGGTCCTGGGGTCAGGACCGTCGACATCACTGTCTTCCGCCCCCACATGTTGTCCCACTGGAAGGTCTTCAGGGGCAGTGACACACACGGAGCCGTCATCTATGACAATGCCTTCTTCTGGACACCTCCTGAAGGACCTGTCTGAGGCTGTTCTGCAGTTGACTTACACATATATAGAAAGAGCAGTACTCCAAAATAATGATGAGAAGTACAGCATAATAAATACACCAACCTGTGACATGATCGTTTGTTACCATTATCAAATATGACTGCTATAGCTAATTGTGTGTGCTGGGCTTTGTCACATCACAGCCATCCTGGGGTCACACAGTGCATCACTCACGTGGGTGCAGTAATGCTGGTGTGAACAAACCTGCTGCGTGGCCGGCATGTAAGAGTCTAGCACAGACAGCTGTGTACAGTACATAGTACTTGAGAATGATCATCAACAATTATGGTCCTGGTTTATGTATTTACCACACTGAAAACAAAGGTTGTGGTGAGGTCAGGGGTATGGGTCAGAAGCCCAGAAACCTGTTAGGTAGAGGGGAGGAAAACGTGGGGAAGGAGAATAGGCAGAACTATCAAGCTCGGCCTTGGATAAAGGATTAGGAAGAAAATGCAGGATCCCAGGTGCCGGGGCTAGTGCGGAAGCCAGGCAGGGGCTGGGAGGGGCAGGAACACCTTCAACAAATGCCTACCGACCCCTGCTCAGCCCCACAGGTGGGTCCAGCTCTGAAGTCCAGTCTCCACTCATTCTGGACAAATGCGGGGGTGGCTTTCATCTCAGTTCCCCAGTACAGGGATGGGGAGGCCTCCGTAGGTCTTGGCAGCCCTGTTCTCTGGAGCCTGTGTCCGGCAGTCCCCTCTCTGTGTGGGGGGAGGGTGGAGGTGCCCAGCTGTGGCGTGGGGACAGACGCCAGGTGGAACGCGGCAGTAGCCTCCAACTTGCCTTTTTCTGGGTTTCCAGAGGGATCATTGGTGCCTTTACATGTTGAATTCCAGAAACCAGCCACTCCAGCCAAGACACACGTGGAGAGTGGACTTTGGCAATGGCCGTGGCTTTGGCAAAACTCTGACCGTGTCAGGCTCCTTCTCCCCTTGTAGAAATAAGGCCAGACTGTGCCGAGGCCTCAATGCCCGCCTGCGGACTGAAGGTCTCACCCAGGCTGCAGGGAGATGGAGGGGGAGGCCAAGAGAGGGTGAGCAGGGAATTGAAACCCATGGGGTAAAACTATTTTATTCACTTTATTTTTTCATAAAGGACCAAAGGCCGCTGTAGGCGATGATCATCCCCAATCACGGCCCTCGACCGGAGCGCACTTCCCCGCATCTGGAGCCATCTGCATCTGTCTCCTTTGCAGTCTGCCGGTAATTGGGTCTGAAATCACACGCGTCCCACTCAGCTACATTTACATTTCCTTCTTGCGCTGTTTTTATATCCAGAGCTGTTGAAACCACTCCTAGGATGAATTTCTAAACTTAGACCATCTCATCCTCAAACGGCAAGAAAGAAAGTGTGATGTGTCTGTGAATCTGCTGAATGGGCCGAGGGGTGTTTTTAAAAGATCATATTGCGGGGAAGAAGCAGGCACTGCAGAAACCTATGGATTGGGGTGCTAAAACCTACGAGCTTCCCAGGAAGCTGCCTTTTGGGAGCCCGAACTATCCCAGAACTTTTTCCTAGTAGCAGATCACAATCACCGTCTCTTCTGTGAGCCCGCTTCAAGCCAGCAATGAAAGGACACTTCTGCACGCCAGCAGTAAGAGTAGGAAACCCCACTCTCCCTACAACATAAGGGCTACACATTTGAGATCCTCTCAGAGGACTTTTTAAAAAAATAACATCTTTCATTTATGCTTGAGCAGGGAGAAGAGTCATTAAAAAGAAGAGATTTTTAAAATCCCTGTCCAATGCTTTTGGCCAGCCAGCCGCTCAGGACAAAGGGCTGCCTGGTTTGGGGACCTAATTATCCGGAGGCCAAGGCGCGGCTGCGGGTGATGGGGCTGCCGATTCCGCCGCGAGCACAGTCCGCCTCATTGTTGGTGAATTTCCTGCTCTTGGCACTTTCTTTGGCAGCCTCATGGCCAGCACCTGTGCACTCAGACCTGGGGCCTGGGACGTCTACACAGATGTCACGGCGCTTTTGTTGATTTCCTATTAGTGGCACTTAATAGGCAGGCGCTGGGGACAGCTTGGCTCGGCTCCGGGGAGGGGCCGCAAACATCGCTCCCTTGGTGGGCGAAGGGTCAAATGGTTTCTAAAGCTCGGCCAGATAATTGCTGGTGATTAGCAATTTTAATTAGCAGGTGCGAGGGGTCGGGACCCCCTTCCCTGTAATTGGACAGGTTGTTAACATTCGTGGAGTTGTGACCAGGGAGTATATTTTACTAATACTCTCCAGCTCTTTTAAAGTTAATTAAATTAAAGGAGCTAAAACCACCAGAGACGGCCTGAGATCTGATGAGCCAGATAGGAAAAGTTTTCAGTAAAACTTGTCTCACTGGAAAAAAAAAGAAAAAAAAAAAAAAAACTTCAAACACAGCCATGAATCCCTTGTGAACGCCGCGTGGCCCCGTGCGTGTTCTTCTGTGGCTGCGGAAGGCTGGGGCCGTGAACGTGTTTTCTCTGCCGGGTGCCTCACGTTGGGACTCGGCCCGTCGGGGTCCGGCTCTTCTGTTCCGCGCACTGACTCTTAGGGGCTTTGTTCGGTCACAGCGAGCAGAAAACCAGCGTCTCCCCGGTGCAGCCTTGGAAGGGGCTGGACACCCGCTCATGGCCACAGAGGGCAGCTTCCGGGCGACGCTCCAGCTCTGCCTCTCGGACTCCTCACGGACACAGGCGTGTGTTTGAAACGGATCGATGTCCCCCCGGTTCCTTTCACAGACACCAGAAAGCCCGCGAACACACCTCACAGGCTCCGAGTAAGTGCAAGAAGAGGGCGCGGCAGGAGTTTCCCGGGGTCTCGGGGCGCAGGGGTGGTGCCCGCAGCACTCGCCTCTCCAGGCACGCGGGAGGCTGCGCGCAGCCCGGGCCGGCTCAAAGGCGGCGAGAACCGACGCAGCCACACCGCCACCTCGAGCGTGGCGACAGGGACGAGCTCACACACGCGGCAGGTGGGGCGCAAGCCGCCAGGAACACGGGCCCGGGGTCGGAGGAGGGGCATGGGGAGAAGAGGAGGCACCCACAGGCGGCGAGTTCAGAGTGGGAGCAGAGGCCGCGACGGAGCCTCGACCTCGGTCCCTGAGGTCCCAGGGCTGCGCCTGGCTCGGCAGACTCCGTCTAGAGATGCAGAAGGCGGGGCTGTGAGCGCCTCGCCCGTGACCTTCGGTTTCTTGGCCCTGTTGTTAGAGGCTTTAATTAGAAGTCTCTTCTTTCCATGACACATTTCTAATGCTCTTTGCCCACAACACAGACACTCGCTCTGAGCGCCAATAGGAACAATTCGTTCATGACGGGAGAACCGAGTGCTCCATTCTGAGTTCCCGCAGAGGGTTCTGTGCGTTTCCAGAAAGAGCAGATGGGGGCGCGGGCGTGTGTTTGAAGGAGCTTCGAAGAGGGTGGCCCCGTGGGGTGGGGTGGGGGGATGGGGCCTCGTGGCATGTGGAGGGTGGGGTGGGGGGATGGGGCCTCGTGGCATGTGGACAGTGACCCCAGGAAGCTTCCAGCCAAGAGGCGTCACTCACATGGAGCCGAGTGTGACTGAGGGTGAGCGGGTGGTGGGAGGCTACGTCCCGGGGGCGGCAGGCAGAGGGTGAGGTCCTCGGCCATGGGTGAGACTGAAGAGGGCCGCAGGATGCGCTGTCAGGGGCTGCTCCGGTAAGTATGCAAACATGGGGCATGTAACATGCATCCCTGACGGCTTTCCTTTGTGATTTAAAAAGCATGTTTTGGCCCGGTGCAGTGGCTCATGTCTATAATCTCAGCACTTTGGGAGGCTGAGGTGGGCGGATCACCTGTGGCCAGGAGTTCGAGACCAGCCTGGCCAACATGGCAAAACCCCATCTCTACTAAACATACAAAAATTAGCCGGGCGTGGTGGTGCGCGCCTATAATCCCAGCTACATGGGAGGCTGAGGCAGGAGAATCACTTGAACCCAGGAGGCAGAGGCTGCAGTGAGCTGAGATTGTGCCACTGCACTCCAGCCTGGGCAACACAGTGAGACTCCATCTCCAAACAACAACAACAAAACTAAAAAAATTATTGTATACATGTTTACAATAATACCTTCTCCCCACACCTGATTCACCTGTAGTCGTTTTCTGGTGCCCCTCATACCTCTGGGGAGCACCGGCCACCATGCCCCAGGTGGCAGTGTACGTGCCCTGCCCCTGGCCCGTCATCCCCTGATGGTCTCCTGAGTGGGAGCATGGAGCTGGGGGAGTGTGCCCAGGAGACTCTGAGCCCCGGCAGAACAAAGCGAGCTCTGCCTTCAGCCCTTTGGCCTGAGACTCTGTGCCTGAGAGTGGGAGCAGGACCCTCTGCACCCAGGGCAGCTGAGGGCAGCTCCTGGGGTTCATCAGCTTTGTTGAGTGACTACAGGCAAGTCCATAGAGAACATTCCTTCCTTCTTGTTTTGCTTTCACCCCATAATCTTTAAAACCAGTCTGCAAAAACATCAAAACACCTGGCTCAGAACTCAGGACTCGGGAACTCCTGCCAGGCTTTTTGGTGGAGGCTGCAGGCAGAGGATGGGATCCACTTGGAGGAGGCAGGCAAATCAGATGTGCAGGGTGGTCACTATCATAGTTTTCCAGGAAGGTCATGCTCCTGTGTGGAGCAGGGTGGACAGAAGGACCCAGGGGCTGGTGTAGGGCAAGTCGCTGATGCCCTTAGTTAATGGGGCCCTGAAGCAGAGTAAGTCCCAGCAGGATGGCCCGGCCAGGTCCCTGTGAGGTCCCCGGCGAATGGAGGTGAGGCCAGGGGCTGAGAAAGGACTCCATCTGCAGATGAAACCACAGAAAGTCCTGCTTCTCAACTTGGGGGTTTGGCTTGGGCAACGCCCTTGGTGAGACAAATCCAGAGCAAGGATGGTGAAGAACGCCCATTAGTCAGTGGCCTTCCTTTGTCTCTTAGCTTTTCCCTTGCGATATGGTTTGGCTCTGTGTCCCCACCCAAATCTCATCTTGACCTGTAATCCCTATGTGTCCAGGGAGGGAGGTGATTGGATCGCACAGGCAGTTCCCCCATGCTGTTCTCATCATAGTGAGTTCTCATGAGAGCTGATGGTTTTATAAGTGTCTGGAAGTTCCTCCTTTGCGCTTCTCTCTCCTGCCACCTTGTGAAGAAGGTGCTTTCTTACCCTTTGCCTTCCACTGTCATTGTAAGTTTCCTGAGGCCTCCCCACCCATGAGGAACTGTGAGTCAATTAAACCTCTTTCCTTTATAAAGTACCCAGTCTTGGGTATTTCTTCATAGCAGTGTGAAAACAGACTAATACACCTTGGAAATAATCTCATGCTTACAAAAGAGTTGCAAAAATAGCAAAACTAGTATAAAGTGTCTGCCCTACCCTCCACCCAGCTTCCCTGAAGGCTGCGGTTACGTAATTCATTGTGTTAAACTTACAGTCACATAGCAGATGACACTATTACCAGCCGGTCTACAGGCCTTGTGTGAATGCTACCAATTTCCCTGTGATTGCCTCTTTTCTGGTCCCAGACCCATTTCAGGGCCCAGGTTGCTTCTAGCTGCTGTGTCATTTGTCGCTGCCCAGCTGGGGGAGTTCTTCCTCCCTGTAGATTCCTCTTCAATGACCATGGCAGCTCTGGAGAGCTGATTTTATAGGATGCCCCTCTGTTTGGGTTCGTCTGATGTTTCTTCATGAATAAATTAAAATTATGCATTTTTGGCCAGAATGCCAAATGTCCTTCTGGGGCCTCCCGGCAGGCACGTGACGTCCCCCAGCCTCACTCCTGGTGGTGCAACTTTGACCACACAGGTAGGTGGCATCTGCCGGGCATCTCCCCTGTCAGCTTGGGATTTTCCCCTTTGCCATGATTTGGTGTCTTATGAAAAGGTATCTGGGGACTACGGAAATAGCCAGTTTCTCATACTTTTGCCTGCCGATCTCAGCTCCCTTGAGAACACTGCCTTCTACGCTTCTTCCCGTGCTGCTTGCCAAATGGTGGTGCTCCTGCTTTTCCCGTTTCTTCTTTCCTTCCACACTGAGTAACTGGGAGTCTCCTGTGAGAAAGGGCTGTCTCTCCCCACCCTATGTACTTATTTGATTACCTATTTTTATCAGCTTAAGCTCATGGATATTTATTCTATTCTATGGAATAGAATTTATTATTATTACTATTATTGTTCTTAGTTTAAAATTTCCAGCCCTGGCCACTGGGTGCTCCTTCAGTAGAAGAGCCCTACTAAAGCCACGTGCTGTGGAAGTGTGCTTTTCTAAACTTTCATTTTTTTTTTCTTTTCTTTGAGACAGAGTCTCACTCTGATCTTGGCTCACTGCAACCTCTGCCTCCTGAGTTCAACTGATTCTCCTGCCTCAGCCTCACCAGTAGCTGGGATTACAGATGCCCATCACCATGCCCGGCTAATTTTGTATTTTTAATAGAGACAGGGTTTTGCCATGTTGGCCAGGCTGGTCTCGAACTCCTGACCTCAAGCGATCCACCTGCCTCGGCCTCTGGGATTACAGATGTGAGCCATCGCACCTGTGCGTGAAGGTTTTCTAACCTTCTATCAGATTTTCTAACCTCCCCAAGCCACAGGATGAGAAAAGGTGAGTGACACTCTCAGGGACACAGGGCGGGGCAGAGGGCAGGGGCTGGCTGTGCGGCTGGCTCCTGGGGGATCACACAGCAGTGGGAGGGCCTGGTGCTGTCTATGGCTGCGGCTGCTGTCTGTACAGTGAACTGGTGAGAACCATGCAGATGTGGGGGACACGCCCCTGAGCACAGTCAGTGCTCTGCCCAAATCCAGATTTCTTTTCATCAGTGTTCTAAGGAAAGGATGCTGAACGTAGCGATGCTATTCAGGGACCTGTGGTGCCAGGCGAAGCTCAGTGCTGCACGCGAGCTTCCAGTCAGTCCTCAAAGCCACCTCAGAGCCAGGGCCCAGGCTATGGGCACGAAGCTTCATCAAGGAGGGTATCAGGGTGTCCGGCTGCTATGGAATATGACGGGGGTGCTCTCGCATGTGCTTGCACATGCTCTGTATGCATTTCTGTGCCCTCGTATACTCCCGTGTGCCCTTCTGTGCTTGTGTGTGCTCTCCTTTGCACTCGTGTGTGCTCGTGTGTGCTGGTGGGGTGAGTGTGATGCTCTAGGGAGGCCGTTCCCTCCGGGCGGCTGCCTTATCTATCTGCCCTGCCTCCCCAGGCCCCGCTGACTCCAGGCCTCCAGGAGATGGGGATTGAGCACCTGCCCTCTGTGTGCCCGGCCGTGGGTGTCCTGGGCTGAGCAGGAGGCACTGGCCCCACGTAGCCCTCACAGGGCAAAGCTGCTGCTCCCAGGGCAGAGGACATGTCTTCTCCCTGCCTGCTGCCTGGGGCTACTTTGTCCCTCACCTTGCTCAGGCCAAGACCCGACGCCCTGAACTGTGGTCACTGATGGGTGCCAGGTGGATCTCCGGGCACCGTGAGCCGGGCTGAGCTTGTTTTCCACGAGCCCATCGCTGTGGGTGTCGTGCACGTGCTGGGGCTGGCTCTTGTCAGGGAACACTGTGATGACTCACACGCCTAAAAATAGCGTCTTGATGTCCTGAAATCATACAACAGAAACATTTCTAACCTCCTCCAAATTCCATGGGTGACTGGGACTTTTGGCTGTGGTCTGCTCCTGAGCACTGTCAGAGGCTGCGATGGGCTACCGGGTCCCTCTTCGGTCCGGCTCGTGGGGAGGTGCCGGTGGGCGGTGCAGGGAACGAGGCTGGGGTCTGCACGCGTGTGCTGTTTCTCGGCCTGAGAGTGAGCTATGCATGCTGAAGGCCTGGTGGGTGGGCAGCCAGGAAAATGCTTTGTGTTTTGGGGTCTGTTCTTCACTCATTGTAGGAGACTCTGTGTAGTTTAAGCTCTAGAGAGAGTGATCTCTGGAAGCCAAAATAGACATAAAGTTTACATTCAAATGCCGTGTATCTCAGTGCATTCAGAAATGCGCTTAAATGCTGGAAAGCACTGCTTTCCCCGTGGATGACTGAGGTTTCTTCTATTTCGTTATAACGTTGTTTCTGGAAAAGAGATCATCAAGATGCAGAGGCCGTGGCTGCGACGGAGGAAGGAAGTGGGGGAGCCACGGCAGGAGAGAGGAGAGAGAGAGGGAGCTCGGAGGAGGGGGCTGCCTCGCGGTGTTCAGGACACCTGTGCCCCGGTTACCTGTCTGTGTCCCCGTGAAGAGTTGTTACTGCTCATCGGTTGCTTCCGCCCTGCAGGAATCATGGTCCTTTCGTGTGGCGAGGTCACCAAGCAGCGTCACCACCCCAGACGACAGCAGGTCACCCTCCCTGGCTGCCGCGTGGCAGGGCGGGTTCAGGGACGGACTCTGCGCTTCACTCTGATTTTTGTCATTTTTGTGGGTTGAAGTTAGACCCCCTATTCTGTTGTTTGAACACAGATCTGGGCCACTTTACTGATATTAGTTACCTGCTGTGCCTCTTAGCACCTCCCGACTTCCTTGCTGTACTCTGAAAATGCAGGTTTTGTGCACCTGAATTATAATCTTGCTGTGATAATGCGCCTGTATTGATTCAACAAAATGAGTTGTCTATTTTGTTTTCACTTCGACATCTCTAAGAAGGAAAGACTGACAATCGGGAACATAAATATTTTGGACTTCACATCTTGTGGCATGAAGATGATAAAAAAAAGTGTAATAATTACGAGGTAAAATTTTACCAGGAAATGCAGTTCTGTTTGAACTGGAGGATGAACTCACAGAAAGCACTTATTCTAGAGCAGTGTTAAAATGCTTCAATTGCCCAAGCATCTAAAAGGCAGAAAATTGATAGCATTCCATTAAAGGTGCAACAAACCAAATCTAAATATGTAGAAACTGCTGCCTGGGTCAGGATTGATTTTAGGCTTTATAAAAAATATATAAAGGGTTTTATTTCTACAGTGCTTTATGCTAGACATTGTCTTTGGGCTCTAAGGGGTTTCTCTGATTTACCAAGCACGATTATAAATAATATCTTCAAAGGATTGCGGAATATTCTAACCCTACATTTTTTTTTAACATGAGTTTGATGTTTTCTCGTAGGTTCGGGTTCATTTAAATAGATTGGTTTGAGTTGGATTTCAGTGCTTAATTATAATTATTGTACGTAACTGAACATTTCAATATAATGAACCAATTGATCAGGCTTATATTCATATTTGAAGAAAACTGGTATTTTTGAAAACAAACAGGAAGATAATTTTCTTTAGAATTATGACTAATATGACTAAGTTTCCTGACTGTCCCCATCTCTCTCTCTGAGGCCCGTTACTGGTTTGGAAGATGCTTTAGAATCACAGGTTTTTGTTATTCCCTAGACTGACTGGGGCTAGAAAGGGGTGGGGGCGGCGGGGGATGATGCGGGGCTGTTCAGTTTCCACGCATCCCTCCCGGTATAAATGAAGCTTCCTCAGCAGATGGTCCTCGCCCCCCACCTGTGGCTGTCGTAACAAAGTGCCACACGCCAGGTGGCATATGACAGCACGAGTTTCTTACCTCCAGCTCTGCAGGAGGCTGGAAGCCTGAGACCCTGCCCCTCTGAGCCCCGCAGGGAGGAGCCTTTCGCCGCCTCTTCCAGCTCCTTGCCGCTCCTGGCTCGTAAACCCATCACTCCTGTCTCTGGCCCTGCTGCTGCATGGCTGTCTTCCCTCTGCGCATGTCTGTGTCCATGTTTTCCCATTTAATAAAGACATCGGCCATTGAATTAGGGCCCCCCCTACTCAGTGTGACCTCATCTTAACCAGTTATATCTGCAAGGACCCCGTTTCCATATAAAGCCCCAGGTGCCATGGGTTAAGACTCGAACACATCTTTTTGGGGGACATGATTCAACCCACGACAGCAGCCGTGGGTCTCAGGAAGATGGGTCAAGCGATGAACACACACCCAGCCAGAGCTTCAGTCACTCACTCTGCATCCGTGGAGAGGCCTCTCCATGCTTCGGGGCCTCAATGTCCTCATCTGTAGAGTGGGGAGATTGGGTTAGATCAGCCTTCCCAAGGGGTTTTCCACAGAGCTGGAGCTCTGGGAGATCAAATAGGCATCTTTCAAAATAAAGCCTTGGGCACGAGTGAGTTTGGGAACTGTGTTGGGCAAGACCACAGGTTTCATGATCTCAAGACTTCTCAGAGAAGTCACTCCCCAGTGCCTGCAGGAATCTGCAGGGGCAGGAAGCGGAGGGAGGGATGATGGCACACACCGACTCTGAGGCCAGACCACACCCAGAGAGAATTCTCTGTTCTTCTGCAGAGAGAATCCCACCTCATGGCTGCAGTGCAGAGTCCACGCATGTCCAATTTGTACTTGCTTTTATAAATCTGTGTGTGTGTGTGTGCATGTGTGTGGCATAGAGAGAGAAAGATTTGTGCCTGCTTTTACTTTTCTTTTTTCCTTCAGCTTTTAAGTTCCAGGGTACACGTGCAGGGTGTGCAGGTTTGTTGCAAAGGTAAACACGTGCCATGGAGGTTTGCTGCACAGACCATCCCGTCACCTAGGTATGAAGCCAGCATCCCTCAGCTATTCTTCCTGATGGTCTCTGTCCCTCCATGCCCCACCCTCCGACAGGCCTCAGTGTGTTGTTCCCCATAGTGTGTCCATGTGTTCTCATCATTCGGCTCCCACTTATAAGTGAGAACATGCGGTGTTTGGTTTTCTCTTCCTGCATTAGTTTGCTGAGGATAATGGCTTCCAGCTCCATCCATGTTCCTGAAAAGGACATGATCTCATTCCTTGCTATGGCTGCGTAGTAGGCCATGGTGTATATGTACCACATTTTCTTTATCCAGCCTACCATTGATGGGCATATAGGCTGATTCCATGTCTTTGCAATTGTCAATAGTTGTGCCTGCTTTTTCATTGCTATTTACCGACTTGCGCTTTCTGGGTCATTAAGTCAGTTTTGGAACGAGATTTTAAAGGCTTCCTGGCCCCCCACGCGTGGAGTGCCACCATGGGGCTGGCTGTTGGTTTGGGCGCCCTACAGGTTCAGTGCCTGTGGTGGATGCTTCCTGCTGCCCACCCCCAGCACAGGGCATGCCATGGTCACCTTCACAGTGTGCGATGCTCCCGCCTGAGGAAGCCAGCCCAGCCAACGCAGAGCCAAGGACCACTGAAGGCATTGCCACTGCTACACGCTTGGAGCCATCCATGCCTGCAGCCGCGTTGAATGCCTTCTGCTTCTTTCCTATGCCAGCTTGAACTGGGTTACTTTTGCTTACAAATGAAGTACTCTAACTCAGGAAATTGGGACTCTAGGATGCAGTCATCAGGGACCCAGTCAAGATTGCAAATATGGGGATGGAGGTAAATGAGGAAGTGAATGACTTCAACAGAAATCCCTCTCTATAAACTCCTACTGCCGGTGAGTCCCTGCGGCTGACACATGTCCTACCTAACGTGGAAATCTCAGCCTCCAGCCCAGGGCACGCGAGACATCCAAACCTCACTCACTCAGCATCTGTCTCCTGGACTAGCAGTCACAGTACATCTGTCCCCGTCTACATCCTAACAGGGAAGCCTTCCCCAAAACAAATCCAAGTGTTCTTCTCTCTATGAAGACTTTCGATCAAAACCAGATTCATCTTCTGGGTGGATACATGTGCCTAGCCCACCAGCATCTTCTCTGTGTCTACCTGACCCACAGCTAATATCCAGGCGACGCCCCACACCCACTCAGGGTCCTCCTCATCACTGCCCAGTGCTGCCACTCACTGACCGACCTTCTCACAGAGCAGACCTCATGAGGGGGATGCTAACGGCATCTACAGACAGTGGGGTTTGCTTCAGTGACCATCGCTCAAGGAGGCAGGTGCTACCCAGGCACCAGCAGTGTGGCTGTGCCATCAGTGGACAGGGCATCCATGCCATGAACAGGGGGACTCACTGTGCTTTTAGACACTTCTGACTTTTTGACTGCGCAGTTTCTAAATAATTGCCTTTTTCTTTGTGTGAGGTGGCACCCCCCCGTTGCCTGTTTCTCATTCAAAATAAAGGCAAGTATACTTGAGAAGGGTGGAAGGGGAAAAGAGAAAGGAAGACAATGTCTCCAGCTCCAAAATGTAAACTACTATATTTATCTTTTAAAGAAAGTTCAAGTTCCAAGATCTGTAAATGATGTGGGCTTTTATGATGGTGATTGTCTTGTTTTTCCAGCATGAGCAGTCACATGATTCTTAACCCCACAGTTAGGGGGCGGACGGACACTCATGCGTGCATGCATATATGGAGATGGTGTGGATTTTCTGAAAATGAAGAAAAAATGCTAAAAGTCATGAAAGAAAGGGCTTCCACTGGCTCTGCATCCTTAAGTGACGATTGATTGAGAAGTCAGCCTCTTGTTTTCTATGCCCACATCCCTGCAAGCTGAAAGTCAGAACAACTCTGCAGAGAATCCCATTGAATAAGCTTCTTCCCGGCCATTGCTGGCCTTGCTTGGGGGCTGAGCCATGGCTGCCTCTGGATGTACCATCAGCCTGGGTGATAAAAGGGCCAGGCACCTGGGGACGCCGCTCATCCTGGGCAATGGAGAGCTGCAAACATGGTTCATTCTGGAAACATTCTTTGTCCTGAGCAGCAGGGCTTCTCTGCATTCACCTGCTGAAAACTGGATTCTTCTCCTGCAGCCAAACACACTGTGTGCTCCACGTGCTCATGTGTGCATGCCTGTCCATCATCACCTTGTCTTGATTGTGAATCCTGCCTTTTGGTTTGTAAGAAAACCAAATTAATTCTCAGGCACAGATCATATCTAACTCCCCTCCCCTCACCTCTCCTCTCTTCCCCTCTCCTCCCCTCTCCTATCCTTCCCTTTCCATTTCTTTCACCTTTCCTGTCCTTTCCTCTCCTTTCCTTCAGTGTCTTGCTCTGTCACCCAGACTGGAGTGCAGTGGCGCGATCTTGGCTCACTGCAACCTCTGCCTCCTGGGTTCAAGTGATTATTGTGGCTCAGCTTCCTGAGTAGCTGGGACTACAGAAGCTCACTACCATGCCTGGCCTAGCTCAGTGTTTTTGATGAATTAAGATCTAAAACATAAATCAGTGGTGTTTCTTTTTTTTTGTTTTTTTTTGGAGGGGCTCAGGTTACTTGGGACAAGAACACATTTGCTGGTCCAATGGGTAGAAAGAACAGCCATGTGAGGATTTTGACACAAGTACTGATTGTGTGTGTGAGTGTGCATGTGTGTGTGACAGTGTGCAAGCATGTGCATGTATTTTGCATGTGACTGCATGCACATGTATGTGTGTGTGAATGTGTGTGTATGCATGTGTGCAAATATGTGTGCATATGCATGAGTGTATACGGTGTGTGTGTCCGTGTGTATGGGAATTGTGTGCGTGTGTGCATTTGTGTGTGTGTATGTGCATTGCATTTGTGTACATGTGCGTGTGTGTGCATGTGTGTACATGTGCATGCGTGTGTGTGCATGTGTGTGTGTTGCCTGAGCCTTCGATTGAATGAAAGCAGGCGGGTGGGTGAGTTGAGGCTGGAGGGCCCACATCACCTCTACCCTCTCTGATATGATCTCAGATCTTCACTTTTATTTTGCTACACATTTGTAGGAAAAAAGACCACTTTGGGCCCATGAACATGGAAACACCACAACGTATGTAGAGGAGCCTCCTCAAGACTAGCCTGGACTTTTCAAAGGAATAATGAAATTCCTTTAGATACTTTTTGTTTCTTGAATTTTAATGAAAAGATTGATTTCTAGTCATTATTTATCTATTGTCAAATGTTAACAAACAGCTGTAGTGATAATTGCTGAATCTCTACTCTATGTTTAGAGGAAGCTGTCAATTCACAAACATGGAATTGTGCTATTTCTATGTCTAAGGCATTTTTCTGTAAATATACAGATTTAGTGCTGGTTTTCAATAAATATACAAAGATGCTAATTATCACTAGAACTATTTGTTAACACTCAAAAATACATAAAAATAAATAAAAGAAATGCCATTTTTCCATTAGGAATTCAAAAAATATTTGTCTTGAGGCAGTGTCTTCCATGCTGTTCTAGGAACTGCACTGTCATTATCTTGTGCTCACGTCACCTTTAGTTTTCCAGCCCTGGCTCGCTCACCTCTGCCTCGAGCCCTTACCCGGTGTGTGCTCTCGCTTCCCTGGAGCACTCGGTATGTTGCTCGTGGGCCTTCTTCGAGGCCGCCCACATCGTGGTGGGTTACAGGAGAAGGGAGCCGTGTGGATACTAGGTCTTCAGGTGCCCTTGGATCTGAAGTTCCCCAGGCACCGATGTTGCTGTGGTGTCCGCCTCAGAGCAGCCTTCCCTGCCAAGTTCAGCTCACAGGAACACTGGACTCGGGCTGCACAGGCACACGCCCTGGCAGAAGCTGATGTGGGAGAAGAACTCCAACCACGAAGGGAGGCTGACCAATGGCACCAGCTTCTGAGCTTGGCCTGAAGAGGACTCATGAGCTAAAAAACGTTTTTCTACTAGTTTACAAGTTTTTGATTTTGCCACCATGTTACCAAACCCAGTCAACTGGAGCAAGGGTGCTGTGGGGTGATCTGCATGTTTGATGGCTCCATCTTGAAGGAACGGTCCACCCTTACCTGGCTGCATCCAGGAGAGGGCCATGCTTATCCGACTCCATCCTGAGGAAGTAGTCCATGCTTACCTGGCTCCATCCTGAAGGAATGGTCCATGCTTACCGGACTCCATCCTGAAAAAAAGGTGCATACGTACCTACCTCCATCCAGAAGGAATGGTCCATGCTTACCTGGCTGCATCCTGAAGGAATGGCCCACACTTAGCTGGCTGCATTCAGAAGGAATGCTACATGCTTATCTGACTCCATCCTTAAGAAATGGCTCATGCTTACCAAGTTGCATCCTGATGGAATGGTCCGCACTTACCTGGCTCCATCCTGAAGGAAATGTCCACACCTACCTGGCACTATCCTGAAGGAATGGTCCATGCTTACCTGGCTGCATCCTGAAGGAATGGTCCATGCTTACCTGGCTCCGTCCTGAAGGAAGATCCACACCTACCTGGCACTATCCTGAAGGAATGGTCCATGCTTACCTGGCTGCATCCTGAAGGAATGGTCCATGCTTACCTGGCTCCGTCCTGAAGGAAAGATCCACACCTACCTGGCACTATCCTGAAGGAATGGTCTATGTTTACCTGGCTGCATCCTGAAGGAATGGTCCATGCTTACCTGGCTCCGTCCTGAAGGAAGATCCACACCTACCTGGCACTATCCTGAAGGAATGGTCCATGCTTACCTGGCTGCATCCTGAAGGAATGGTCCATGCTTACCTGGCTCTGTCCTGAAGGAAGATCCACACCTACCTGGCACTATCCTGAAGGAATGGTCCATGCTGACCTGGCTGCATCCTGAAGGAATGGTCCATGCTTACCTGGCTCCGTCCTGAAGGAAGATCCACACCTACCTGGCACTATCCTGAAGGAATGGTCTATGTTTACCTGGCTGCATCCTGAAGGAATGGTCCATGCTTGCTTGCTTCTGTACTGAAAGAATGGTTCTTACTTACCTGGCTGCATCCTGAAGGAATGGTCCATGCTTACCTGGCTCCATCCTGAGGGGATGGTTCATAGTTTCTGACTGCATCCTGAAAAAATGGTCCCTGCTTACCTGGCTCCATTCTTAAGAAATGGTTCACACTTACAGGGCTGCATCCTGATGGAACGGCCCATGTTTACCTGGCTGCATCCTGACAGAATGGTTCATGCTTACCTGACACCATCTGAAAGAATGGTCCATGCTTACCTGGCTGTATCCTGACAGAATGGTCCACCCTTACCTGGCTGTATCCTGACAGAATGGTTCATGCTTACCTGGCTGCATCCTGATGAAATGGTTCATGCTTACCTGGCTCCATTCTTAAGGAATGGTCCATGCTTACCTGGCTCCATGCTGAGAGAATGGTCCATGCTTACTTGGCTCCATCCTGAGGGAATCGTCCACAGTTACCTGGCTGCATTCTGAAAAAATGGTACATGCTTTTCTGACTCCATCCTGAAGAAATGGTTCATGCTTACGTGGCTGCATCCTGACAGAATGGTCCATGCTTACCTGGCTCCATCCAGAAGGAATGTTTTGTACTTACCTGGCTGCATCCTGAATGAGTGATCCATGCTTACCATGCTGCATTAGGAAGGAATGGTTGACACTTACCTGGGTCCATCCTGAAGGAGTGGTCCACTCTTATGAGGCTACACCCTAAAAGAAAGGTCCATACTTATCAGGATTCATCCTGAAGGATTGGTTCATGTTTACCTCACTCCACGGTGAAGTAATGGTTCATGCTTACCTGGCTGCATCATGAAGGAATGGTCCATGCCTACCTGGCTCCATTCTGAAGTAATGGTTCATGCTTACCTGACTGCATCCTGAAATAATGGTCCACGCTTACATGGCAGGATCCTGAAGGAATGGTTCTTGCTTACCTGACTGCATCCTGAAATAATGGTCCACGCTTACCTGGCAGGATCCTGAAGGAATGGTTCATGCTTACCTGACTGCATTCTGAAAGAATGGCCCATGCTTACCTGGCTCCATCCTAAAGGAATTGCCTATGCTTAACTGGCTTCATCATGGAGGAATGGTTCATGCTTACCTGGCTCCAACCTGAAGGGTTGGTCTCTGCCTACATGGCTGCATTCTGAAGGAATGGTTCATGCTTACCTGGCTTTATCCTGAAAGTATGTATCGTATTTATGTGGCTGTATCCTTAAAAAATGGTCCATCCTTTCCTGGCTGTATCCTGAAAGAATGGTCCCTGGTTACCTGGCACCATCCTGAAGAAATGGTCCACACTTACCTGGCTCCATACTGAAGGAATGGTCCACACTTACCTGCCTGCATCCTGAAGCAGTGGTCCATGCCTACCAGCCTCCATCTTGAAGGAATGGTTCATATTTGCCTAGCTGTATCCAGGAGGAATGGTCCACGCTTACCTGCCTGCATCCTGAAGGAACTGTCCATGCTTACCTCACACCATCCTGAAGGAATGGTCCAGGCTTACCTGGATGAATCCTGAGGGAGTGGTCCATGCTTACCAGGCTCCACCCTAAAGGAAAAGTTCATGCTTACCTGGCCACATTCTGAAAAAATGGTTCATGCTTACCTGGCTCCATCCTGAAGGAAGTGTCCAGACTTACCTGGCTGCATCCCGAGGAAAGGTTCATACTTTCCTGCCTGCATCCTGAAAAAAATGGTCCCTGCTTACCTGGCTACATCCTGAAGGAATGCCCACACGTACCTGTTTGCATCCTGAAGGAATGATCCATGCTAACCTCACTGCTTTCTGAAGGAATAGTGCATGCTTACCTTGTTCCATCCTGAAAGAATTGTTCCTGCTTACCTGGCTCCTTCCTGAAGGAATGGCCATACTTACCTGGTTGCATCCTGAAGGAATAATTCATACTTACCAGGATGCATCCTGAATGAATGGTCCATTATTACCTAGCTTCATCCTGAAGGAATGGTCCATGCTTACCTGGTTCCATGCTAAAGAATGGTCCATTCTTACCTGGTTCCGTGCTAAAAGAATGGTCCATGCTTACCTGGCTACATCCTAAAGGAATGATCCATGCTTAACTGGCTGCATTCTAAAGGAATGGTATGTGCTTACCTGACTCCACTATTAAGAAATGGTTCATGCTTACCCGACTGCATCCTGACAGATTAGTCCATGTTTACCTTGCTGCATCCTGATGGAATGGTTCATACTTATCTGGCTCCATCCTGATGGAATGGTTCATGCTTACCTGGTGGCATCCTGAAGGAATGGTTCATGCTTACCTGGCTGTATCCTGAGGGTATGTGTCATACTTAACTGACTGTATACTTAAAAACTGGTCCATGCTTACCTGGATGCATTCTGAAGGAATGGTTCAGGCTTACCTGGCGGCATCCTGAAGGAATGGTCCATGCTTACCTGGCCGCATTATGAAGGAATGGCTGATGCTTACCTGGCGGCATCCTGAAGGAACGGTCCACACTTGGCAGGCTCCATCCTGAAGGAATGGTCCATGCTTACCTGACTGCATTATGAAGGAATGGCTGATGCTTACCTGGCTGCATTACGAAGGAATGGCTGATGCTTACCTGGCTGCATCCTGAAGGAATGGTCCACACTTGGCAGGCTCCATCCTGAAGGAATGGTCCATGCTTACCTGGCCGCATTATGAAGGAATGGCTGATGCTTACCTGGCTGCATCCTGAAGGAATGGTCCACACTTGGCAGGCTCCATCCTGAAGGAATGGTCCATGCTTACCCAGTTGCAACCTGAAGGGATTGTTGACAGTTACCTGGCTCCATCTTGAAGGAATGGGTCATGCTTACCTGGTTGGATCCTGAAGAAATGGTTCCTGATTACCTGGCTGCATCCTCAATAAATGATCTACTCCTACCTGTCTGCATTCTGAAGGAATGGTCCATACTTACCTTGCTGCATCCTTAAAGAATGATTCCTGCTTACCTGGCTTGGTCCTGAAAAAATGGTCCACGCCTACCTGGCCACATCCTGAAGGAGTGGTCTATGCACACCTGGATACATCCTGAAAAAATGGTTCATGCTTACCTGGCTGCATCCTGAAGGTATGTATCATAATTACCTGGCTGTATCTTTAAAAACTGGTCATTGCTTTCCTGGCTGCATCCTGAAAGAATAGTCTATGCTTACCTGGCTCCATACTGAAGAAATGGTTCATACTTACTTGGCTGCATCCTGAAAGAAATGTTCATGCTTACCTGGCCACATTTGAAAAATATGGTTCATGCTAACCTGGCTCCATCCTGAAGAAACTGTGCACACTTACCTGGCTGCATCCTGAAGGAATGGTTCATACTTTCTTGCCTGCATCCTGAAAAAAATGGTCTCTGCATACCTGGCTGCATTCTGAAGGAATGGTCCACACTTACCTGGCTCCATCTTGAGGGAATGGTCCACACTTACCTAGCTGCACTCTGAAGGAATGGGGTGTGCTTGTCTGACTCCATCCTTAAGAAATGATTCATGCTTACCAGGCTACATCCTGACAGAATGGTCCAGGCTTACCTGGCTCCATCCTGAGGGAATAGTCCGCACTTACCTGGCTGCATTCTAAAGGAATGTTACATGCTTATCTGATTCCATCTGAAAGCATGGTCCATGCTTACCTGGCTGCATCCTGAAAGAATGGTCCATACTTATCTGGCTAGAGTCTGAAAAACATGGTTCATACTTACCTGGCTGCATCCTGAAATAATGGTCCATGCTTACCTGGCTACAGTCTGGAAAACATGGTTCATGCTAACCTGGCTCCATCCTGAAGGAATTGTGCACACTTACCTGGCTGCATCCTAAAGGAATGGTTCATACTTTCCTGCCTGCATCCTGAAAAAAATGGTCCCTGCTTACCTGACTGCATCCTGAAGGAATGGTCCACTCTTACCTGGCTCCATCTTGAAGGAGTGGTCCATGCTTATGTGGCTACATACTGATGGAATGGTCCATGCTTACCTGGCTGCATCCTGAAGAAATGGTCCACGCTTACCTGGCTGCATCATGGAGGAATTTTTCATGCTTACCTGGCTCCATCCTGAAGGAATTGTCCATACTTATCTGGCTGCATCCTGATGGAATGGTCCATGCTTACCTGGCTCCATCCAGAAAAAATGTTTCGTGTTGACCTGGCTGCATCCTGAATGAATGATCCATGCTTACCACGCTCCATTTGGAAGGAATGGTCCATGTTTACCTGAGTCCATCCTTAAAAAATGGTCCATGCGTTCCTGCCTACACCATGAATGAAAAGTTCATGCTTACCTGGCTGCATCCTGAAGGAATGTTTTGTACTTACCTGGCTGCATCCAAAAGCAATGGCTCATGCTTACCTGGTTCCATCCTGAAGGAATGGTCCATGCTTACGAGGCCACATGATGAAAGACAGATCCATACTTACCTGCATTTACCCTGAAAGAATGGTTCATGCTTACCTGACTCCATCCTGAAGGAATGGTCCATGCTTACTTCTCTCCATGGTGAAGAAATGGTTCAGGCTTACCTGGCTGCATTCTGAAGAAATGGTCCATCCTTACGTGGTTCCATCATGAAGGAATGGTCCATGCTTACCTGGATTCATCGTGAAGGAATAGTTCTTGTTTACCTGGCTGCAATCTGAAGGAACGGTCCATGCTTTCCAGGCTCCATTCTCAAGAAATGGTCCATGCTTACTTGGCTGCATCCTGAAAGAATGGTTCATATTGACCTGTCTGCATCCTGAAGAAATGGTCTATGCTGACCTGGTTCCATCCTGAAGGAATGGTCCATACTTACCAGGCTCCATCTTGAAGTAATTCTCCATGCTTACCTGCCTTCATCCTGAAGGAACGGTTCATGCTTACCTGGCTCCAACCTGAAGGAATGGTCTCTGCCTACATGGCTGCATCCTGAAGGAATGATTCATGATTACTTGGCTGTATCCTGAAGGCATGTATCATACTTACCTGACTGTATCCTTGAAAATGGTCCATGCTTTCCTGGCTGCATCCTGAAAGAATGGTCCACGCTTACCTGGCTCCATACTGAAGGAATTGTCCATGCTTACCTTCCTGCACCCTGAAGAAATGGTCCATGCTTACCTGGCTGCATCCTGATAGAATGGTCCATGCTTACCTGAGTCCATCCTGAAGAAATTTTCCCTGCTCACATGGCTGCATCCTGAAAAAATCGTCCCTGCTTACATAGCTGCATCCTGAAGGAACGGCCACGCTTATATTGCTGCATCCTGAAAAAATGGTCCATGCTTACCTGACTCCATTTTGAAGGAATGGTCCACAATCACACAGCACCATCCGGAAAGAATGGTTCATGCTTACCTAGCTACATCCTGAAGGAATGGTCTATGCTTACCTGGATTCATCCTGAGGGAATGGTCTATGCTCACCTGGCTGTATCCTGCAGATATGTATCATACTTACTTGGCTGTATCCTCAAAAAATGGTCCACACTTACCTGGCTTCATCCTGAAGGAATGGTTCATGCTTACCTGGCAGCATTCTGAAAAATATTGTTAATGCTTATCTAGCTCCAACCTAAAGGAATTGTTCACATTTACCTGGCTGTATCCTGAAGGAAAAGTCTGTGCTTACCTGGCTGCCTCATGAAGAAATGGTCCATACTTACCTGGCTTTATCCTGAAATAATGGTTCATTCTGACACGGCTTTATACTGAAATAATGGTTCATTCTGACCTGGCTGCATCCTGAATGAATGGTCCATACTTATCTGTCTCCATCCTGAGGGAATCGTGCATGCTTACCTGCGCTCATCCTGAAGGAATGGTCCACAATTACCTGACTCCATCGTGAAGGAATGGTCCATGCTTACCTGGGCCCATCCTGAAGAAACAGTCCATGCTTACCTGGCTGTACTCTGAAGGAATGGTCCACACTTACCTGGCTCCATCCTGAAGGAATGGTCCATGCTTACCTGGGCCCATCCTGAAGAAACAGTCCATGCTTACCTGGCTGTATTCTGAAGGAATGGTCCACACTTACCTGGCTCCATCCTGAAGGAATGGTCCATGCTTACCTGGGCCCATCCTGAAGAAACAGTCCATGCTTACCTTGCTCCATCCTGAAGGAATGGTCCACACTTACCTGACTCCATCCTGAAGGAATGGTCCATGCTTACCTGGGCCCATCCTGAAGAAACAGTCCATGCTTACGTGGCTGTATTCTGAAGGAATGGTCCCTGCTTACCTGATTCCATCCTGAAGGAATGGTCCACACTTACGTGACTCCATCCTGAAGGAATGGTCCATGCTTACCTGGGCCCATCCTGAAGAAACAGTCCATGCTTACCTGGCTGTATTCTGAAGGAATGGTACACACTTACCTGGCTCCAACCTGAAGGAATGGTCCATGCTTACCTGGGCCCATCCTGAAGAAACAGTCCATGCTTACCTTGCTCCATTCTGAAGGAATGGTCCACAATTACCTGACTCCATCCTGAAGGAATGGTCCATGCTTACCTGGGCCCATCCTGAAGAAACAGTCCATGCTTACCTGGCTGTGTTCTGAAGGAATGGTCCACACTTACCTGGCTCCAACCTGAAGGAATGGTCCATGCTTACCGGGGCCAATCCTGAAGAAACAGTCCATGATTACCTTGCTCCATTCTGAAGGAATGGTCCACAATTACCTGACTCCATCCTGAAGGAATGGTCCATGCTTACCTGGGCCCATCCTGAAGAAACAATCCATGCTTACCTGGCGGTATTCTGAAGAAATGGTCCACACTTACCTGGCTCCAACCTGGAGGAATGGTCCATGCTTACCAGGGCCCATCCTTAAGAAACAGTCCATGCTTACCTTGCTCCATCCTGAAGGAATGGTCCACACTTACCTGACTCCACCCTGAAGGAATGGTCCATGCTGACCTGGGCCCATCCTGAAGAAACAGTCCATGCTTACCTGGCTGTATTCTGAAGAAATGGTCCACACTTACCTGGCTCCATCCTGAAGGAATGGTCCATGCTTACCTGGGCCCATCCTGAAGAAACACTCCATGCTTACCTTGCTCCATTCTGAAGGAATGGTCCACAATTACCTGACTCCATCCTGAAGGAATGGTCCATGCTTACCTGGGCCCAACCTGAAGAAACAGTCCATGCTTACCTGGCTGTATTCTGAAGAAATGGTCCACAATTACCTAGCTCCATCCTGAAGGAATGGTCCATGCTTACCTGGGCCCATCCTGAAGAAACACTCCATGCTTACCTGGCTGTATTCTGAAGGAATGGTCCACACTTACCTGGCTCCATCCTGAAGGAATGGTCCATGCTTACCTGGGCCCATCCTGAAGAAACACTCCAAGCTTACCTGGCAGTATTCTGAAGGAATGGTCCACACTTACCTGGCTCCATCCTGAAGGAATGGTCCATGCTTACATGGGCCCATCCTGAAGAAACAGTCCATGCTTACCTTGCACAATCCTGAAGGAATGGTCCACACTTACCTGACTCCACTCTGAAGGAATGGTCCATGCTTACCTGGGCCCATCCTGAAGAAACAGTCCATGCTTACCTGGCTGTATTCTGAAGGAATGGTCCACACTTACCTGGCTCCATCCTGAAGGAATGGTCCATGCTTACCTGGGCCCATCCTGAAGAAACAGTCCATGCTTACCTTGATCCATCCTGAAGGAATGGTCCCCACATACCTGACTCCATCCCGAAGGAATGGTCCATGCTTAACTGGGCCCATCCTGAAGAAACAGTGCATGCTTACCTGGCTGTATTCTGAAGGAATGGTCCCTGCTTACCTGATTCCATCCTGAAGGAATGGTCCACACTTACGTGACTCCATCCTGAAGGAATGGTCCATGGTTACCTGGGCCCATCCTGAAGAAACAGTCCATGATTACCTGGCTGTATTCTGAAGAAATGGTCCACACTTATCTGGCTCCATCCTGAAGGAATGGTCCATGCTTACCTGGGCCCATCCTGAAGAAACAGTCCATGCTTACCTGGCTGTATTCTGAAGGAATGGTCCCTGCCTACCTGATTCCATCCTGAAGGAATGGTCCACACTTATGTGACTCCATCCTGAAGGAATGGTCCATGATTACCTGGGCCCATCCTGAAGAAACAGTCCATGCTTACCTTGCTCCATCCTGAAGGAATGGTCCACACTTACCTGACTCCACTCTGAAGGAATGGTCCATGCTTACCTGGGCCCATCCAGAAGAAACAGTCCATGGTTACCTGGCTGTATTCTGAAGGAATGGTCCACACGTACCTGGCTCTATCCTGAAGGAATGGTCCATGCTTACCTGGGCCCATCCTGAAGAAACAGTCCATGCTTACGTGCTCCATCCTGAAGGAATGGTCAACACTTACCTGACTCCACTCTGAAGGAATGGTCCATGCTTACCTGGGCCCATCCTGAAAAAACAGTCCATGCTTACCTGGCTGTACTCTGAAGGAATGGTCCACACTTACCTGGCTCTATCCTGAAGGAATGGTCCATGCTTACCTGGGCCAATCCTGAAGAAACAGTCCATGCTTACCTGGCTGTATTCTGAAGGAATGGTCCACACTTACCTGGCTCCATCCTGAAGGAATGGTCCATGCTTACCTGGGCCCATCCTGAAGAAACAGTCCATGCTTACCTTGCTCCATCCTGAAGGAATGGTCCACACTTACCTGACTCCATCCTAAAGGAATGGTCCATGCTTACCTGGGCCCATCCTGAAGAAACAGTCCATGCTTACCTTGCTCCATCCTGAAGGAATGGTCCACATTTACCTGGCTCCATCCTGAAGGAATGGTCCTTGCTTACCTGGGCCCATCCTGAAGAAACAGTCCATGCTTACCTGGCTGTATTCTGAAGGAATGGTCCCTGCCTACCTGATTCCATCGTGAAGGAATGGTCCACACTTATGTGACTCCATCCTGAAGGAATGGTCCATGCTTACCTGGGCCCATCCTGAAGAAACAGTCCATGCTTACCTGGCTGTATTCTGAAGGAATGGTCCACAATTACCTGACTCCATCGTGAAGGAATGTTCCATGCTTACCTGGGCCCATCCTGAAGAAACACTCCATGCTTACCTGGCTGTATTCTGAAGGAATGGTCCACACTTACCTGGCTCCCTCCTGAAGGAATGGTCCATGCTTACCTGGGCCCATCCTGAAGAAACACTCCATGCTTACCTGGCAGTATTCCGAAGGAATGGTCCACACTTACCTGGCTCCATCCTGAAGGAATGGTCCATGCTTACCTGGGCCCATCCTGAAGAAACAGTCCATGCTTACCTTGCTCCATCCTGAAGGAATGGTCCACACTTACCTGACTCCACTCTGAAGGAATGGTCCATGCTTACCTGGGCCCATCCTGAAGAAACACTCCATGCTTACCTGACTGTATTCTGAAGGAATGGTCCACACTTACCTGGCTCTATCCTGAAGGAATGGTCCATGCTTACCTGGGCCCATCCTGAAGAAACAGTCCATGCTAACCTGGCTGTATTCTGAAGGAATGGTCCACACTTACCTGGCTCCATCCTGAAGGAATGGTCCATGCTTACCTGGGCCCATCCTGAAGAAACAGTCCATGCTTACCTTGATCCATCCTGAAGGAATGGTCCCCACTTACCTGACTCCATCCTGAAGGAATGGTCCATGATTAACTGGGCCCATCCTGAAGAAACAGTGCATGCTTACCTGGCTGTATTCTGAAGGAATGGTCCCTGCTTACCTGATTCCATCCTGAAGGAATGGTCCACACTTACGTGACTCCATCCTGAAGGAATGGTCCATGCTTACCTGGGCCCATCCTGAAGAAACAGTCCATGCTTACCTGGCTGTATTCTGAAGAAATGGTCCACACTTACCTGGCTCCATCCTGAAGGAATGGTCCATGCTTACCTGGGCCCATCCTGAAGAAACAGTCCATGCTTACCTGGCTGTATTCTGAAGGAATGGTCCACACTTACCTGGCTCCATCCTGAAGGAATGGTCCATGCTTACCTGGGCCCATCCTGAAGAAACAGTCCATGCTTACCTTGCTGCATCCTGAAGGAATGGTCCACACTTACCTGACTCCACTCTGAAGGAATGGTCCATGCTTACCTGGGCCCATCCTGAAGAAACAGTCCATGCTTACCTGGCTGTATTCTGAAGAAATGGTCCACACTTACCTGGCTCCATCCTGAAGGAATGGTCCGTGCTTACCTGGGCCCATCTTGAAGAAACAGTCCATGCTTACCTGGCTGTATTCTGAAGGAATGGTCCACACTTACCTGGCTCCATTCTGAAGGAATGGTCCATGCTTACCTGGGCCCATCCTGAAGAAACAGTCCATGGTTACCTGGCTGTATTCTGAAGGAATGGTCCACACTTACCTGGCTCCATCCTGAAGGAATGGTCCATGCTTACCTGGGCCCATCCTGAAGAAAGAGTCCATGCTTACCTTGCTCCATTCTGAAGGAATGGTCCATACTTACCTGAATCCATCCTGAAGGAATGGTCCATGCTTAAATGGGCCCATCCTGAAGAAACAGTCCATGCTTACCTTGCTCCATCCTGAAGGAATGGTCCACATTTACCTGGCTCCATCCTGAAGGAATGGTCCTTGCTTACCTGGGCCCATCCTGAAGAAACAGTCCATGCTTACCTGGCTGTATTCTGAAGGAATGGTCCCTGCCTACCTGATTCCATCGTGAAGGAATGGTCCACACTTATTTGACTCCATCCTGAAGGAATGGTCCATGCTTACCTGGGCCCATCCTGAAGAAACAGTCCATGCTTACCTGGCTGTATTCTGAAGGAATGGTCCACAATTACCTGACTCCATCCTGAAGGAATGTTCCATGCTTACCTGGGCCCATCCTGAAGAAACACTCCATGCTTACCTGGCTGTATTCTGAAGGAATGGTCCACACTTACCTAGCTCCCTCCTGAAGGAATGGTCCATGCTTACCTGGGCCCATCCTGAAGAAACACTCCATGCTTACCTGGCAGTATTCCGAAGGAATGGTCCACACTTACCTGGCTCCATCCTGAAGGAATGGTCCATGCTTACCTGGGCCCATCCTGAAGAAACAGTCCATGCTTACCTTGCTCCATCCTGAAGGAATGGTCCACACTTACCTGACTCCACTCTGAAGGAATGGTCCATGCTTACCTGGGCCCATCCTGAAGAAACACTCCATGCTTACCTGACTGTATTCTGAAGGAATGGTCCACACTTACCTGGCTCTATCCTGAAGGAATGGTCCATGCTTACCTGGGCCCATCCTGAAGAAACAGTCCATGCTTACCTGGCTGTATTCTGAAGGAATGGTCCACACTTACCTGGCTCCATCCTGAAGGAATGGTCCATGCTTACCTGGGCCCATCCTGAAGAAACAGTCCATGCTTACCTTGATCCATCCTGAAGGAATGGTCCCCACTTACCTGACTCCATCCTGAAGGAATGGTCCATGATTAACTGGGCCCATCCTGAAGAAACAGTGCATGCTTACCTGGCTGTATTCTGAAGGAATGGTCCCTGCTTACCTGATTCCATCCTGAAGGAATGGTCCACACTTACGTGACTCCATCCTGAAGGAATGGTCCATGCTTACCTGGGCCCATCCTGAAGAAACAGTCCATGCTTACCTGGCTGTATTCTGAAGAAATGGTCCACACTTACCTGGCTCCATCCTGCAGGACTGGTCCATGCTTACCTGGGCCCATCCTGAAGAAACAGTCCATGCTTACCTGGCTGTATTCTGAAGGAATGGTCCACACTTACCTGGCTCCATCCTGAAGGAATGGTCCATGCTTACCTGGGCCCATCCTGAAGAAACAGTCCATGCTTACCTTGCTCCATCCTGAAGGAATGGTCCACACTTACCTGACTCCACTCTGAAGGAATGGTCCATGCTTACCTGGGCCCATCCTGAAGAAACAGTCCATGCTTACCTGGCTGTATTCTGAAGAAATGGTCCACACTTACCTGGCTCCATCCTGAAGGAATGGTCCGTGCTTACCTGGGCCCATCTTGAAGAAACAGTCCATGCTTACCTGGCTGTATTCTGAAGGAATGGTCCACACTTACCTGGCTCCATTCTGAAGGAATGGTCCATGCTTACCTGGGCCCATCCTGAAGAAACAGTCCATGGTTACCTGGCTGTATTCTGAAGGAATGGTCCACACTTACCTGGCTCCATCCTGAAGGAATGGTCCATGCTTACCTGGGCCCATCCTGAAGAAAGAGTCCATGCTTACCTTGCTCCATTCTGAAGGAATGGTCCATACTTACCTGAATCCATCCTGAAGGAATGGTCCATGCTAACATGGGCCCATCCTGAAGAAACAGTCCATGCTTACCTGGCTGTATTCTGAAGGAATGGTCCACACTTACTGGCTCCATCCTGAAGGAATGGTCCATGCTTACCTGGGCCCATCCTGAAGAAACAGTCCATGCTTACCTGGCTGTATTCTGAAGGAATGATCCACACTTTCCTGTCTCCATCCTGAAGGTATGGTCCATGTTTACCTGGGCCCATCCTGAAGAAATAGTCCATGCTTACCTGGCTGTATTCTGAAGAAATGGTCCACACTTACTGGCTCCATCCTGAAGGAATGGTCCATGCTTACCTGGGCCCATCCTGAAGAAACAGTCCATGCTTACCTGGCTGTATTCTGAAGGAATGATCCACACTTTCCTGTCTCCATCCTGAAGGTATGGTCCATGTTTACCTGGGCCCATCCTGAAGAAATAGTCCATGCTTACCTGGCTGTATTCTGAAGGAATGGTCCACACTTCCCTGGCTCCAACCTGAAGGAATGGTCCATGCTTACCTGGGCCCATCCTGAAGAAACAGTCCATGCTTACCTTGCTCCATTCTGAAGGAATGGTCCACAAATACCTGACTGCATCCTGAAGGAATGGTCCATGCTTACCTGGGCCCATCCTGAAGAAACACTCCATGTTTACCTGGCTGTATTCTGAAGAAATGGTCCACACTTACCTGGCTCCATCCTGAAGGAATGGTCCATGCTTCCCTGGGCCCATCCTGAAGAAACAGTCCATGCTTACCTTGCTCCATCCTGAAGGAATGGTCCACACTTACCTGACTCCACCCTGAAGGAATGGTCCATGCTTACCTGGGCCCATCCTGAAGAAATAGTCCATGCTTACCTGGCTGTATTCTGAAGAAATGGTCCACACTTACCTGGCTCCATCCTGAAGGAATGGTCCATGCTTACCTGGGCCCATCCTGAAGAAACACTCCATGCTTACCTGGCTGTATTCTGATGGAATGGTCCACACTTACCTGGCTCCATGCTGAAGGAATGGTCCATGCTTACCTGGGCCCATCCTGAAGAAACAGTCCATGCTTACCTTGCTCCATCCTGAAGGAATGGTCCACACTTACCTGACTCCACTGTGAAGGAATGGTCCATGCTTACCTGGGCCCATCCTGAAGAAACAGTCCATTCTTACCTGGCTGTATTCTGAAGGAATGGTCCACACTTACCTGGCTCTATCCTGAAGGAATGGTCCATGGTTACCTGGGCCCATCATGAAGAAACAGTCCATGCTTACCTGGCTGTATTCTGAAGGAATGGTCCACACTTACCTGACTTCATCCTGAAGGAATGGTCCATGCTTACCTGGGCCCATCCTGAAGGAATGGTCCACACTTACCTGACTCCATCCTGAAGGAATGGTCCATGCTTAACTGGGCCCATCCTGAAGAAACAGTGCATGCTTACCTGGCTGCATTCTGAAGGAATGGTCCCTGCTTACCTGATTCCATCCTGAAGGAATGGTCCACACTTACGTGACTCCATCTTGAAGGATTGGTCCATGCTTACCTGGGCCCATCTTGAGGAAACTGTCCATGCTTACCTGGCTGTATTCTGAAGAAATGGTCCACACTTACCTGGCTCCATCCTGAAGGACTGGTTCATGCTTACCTGGGCCCATCCTGAAGAAACAGTCCATGCTTACCTGGCTGTATTCTGAAGGAATGGTCAATACTTACCTGGCTCCATCCTGAAGGAATGGTCCATGCTTACCTGGGCCCATCCTGAAGAAACAGTCCATGCTTAACTGGCTGTATTCTGAAGGAATGGTCAGTGATTACCTGGCTCCATCCTCAAGGAATAGTCCATGCTTACCTGGGCCCATCCTGAAGAAGCAGTCAATGCTTACCTTGCTGCATCCTGATGGAGTGGTCCACACTTACCTGACTCCATCCTGAAGGAATGGTCCATGCTTAACTGGGCCCATCCTGAAGAAACAGTCCATGCTTACCTTGTTGCATTCTGAAGGAATGGTCCATACTTACCTGACTCCATCCTGAAGGAATGGTCCATGCTTACCTGGGCCCATCCTGAAGAAACAGTCCATGCTTACCTGGCTGTATTATGAAGAAATGGTCCACACTTACCTGGCTCCATCCTGAAGGAATGGTCCGTGCTTACCTGGGCCCATCTTGAAGAAACAGTCCATGCTTACCTGGCTGTATTCTGAAGGAATGGTCCACACTTACCTGGCTCCATTCTGAAGGAATGGTCCATGCTTACCTGGGCCCATCCTGAAGAAACAGTCCATGGTTACCTGGCTGTATTCTGAAGGAATGGTCCACACTTACCTGGCTCCATCCTGAAGGAATGGTCCATGCTTACCTGGGCCCATCCTGAAGAAAGAGTCCATGCTTACCTTGCTCCATTCTGAAGGAATGGTCCATACTTACCTGAATCCATCCTGAAGGAATGGTCCATGCTTAAATGGGCCCATCCTGAAGAAACAGTCCATGCTTACCTTGCTCCATCCTGAAGGAATGGTCCACATTTACCTGGCTCCATCCTGAAGGAATGGTCCTTGCTTACCTGGGCCCATCCTGAAGAAACAGTCCATGCTTACCTGGCTGTATTCTGAAGGAATGGTCCCTGCCTACCTGATTCCATCGTGAAGGAATGGTCCACACTTATGTGACTCCATCCTGAAGGAATGGTCCATGCTTACCTGGGCCCATCCTGAAGAAACAGTCCATGCTTACCTGGCTGTATTCTGAAGGAATGGTCCACAATTACCTGACTCCATCCTGAAGGAATGTTCCATGCTTACCTGGGCCCATCCTGAAGAAACACTCCATGCTTACCTGGCTGTATTCTGAAGGAATGGTCCACACTTACCTAGCTCCCTCCTGAAGGAATGGTCCATGCTTACCTGGGCCCATCCTGAAGAAACACTCCATGCTTACCTGGCAGTATTCCGAAGGAATGGTCCACACTTACCTGGCTCCATCCTGAAGGAATGGTCCATGCTTACCTGGGCCCATCCTGAAGAAACAGTCCATGCTTACCTTGCTCCATCCTGAAGGAATGGTCCACACTTACCTGACTCCACTCTGAAGGAATGGTCCATGCTTACCTGGGCCCATCCTGAAGAAACACTCCATGCTTACCTGACTGTATTCTGAAGGAATGGTCCACACTTACCTGGCTCTATCCTGAAGGAATGGTCCATGCTTACCTGGGCCCATCCTGAAGAAACAGTCCATGCTTACCTGGCTGTATTCTGAAGGAATGGTCCACACTTACCTGGCTCCATCCTGAAGGAATGGTCCATGCTTACCTGGGCCCATCCTGAAGAAACAGTCCATGCTTACCTTGATCCATCCTGAAGGAATGGTCCCCACTTACCTGACTCCATCCTGAAGGAATGGTCCATGATTAACTGGGCCCATCCTGAAGAAACAGTGCATGCTTACCTGGCTGTATTCTGAAGGAATGGTCCCTGCTTACCTGATTCCATCCTGAAGGAATGGTCCACACTTACGTGACTCCATCCTGAAGGAATGGTCCATGCTTACCTGGGCCCATCCTGAAGAAACAGTCCATGCTTACCTGGCTGTATTCTGAAGAAATGGTCCACACTTACCTGGCTCCATCCTGCAGGACTGGTCCATGCTTACCTGGGCCCATCCTGAAGAAACAGTCCATGCTTACCTGGCTGTATTCTGAAGGAATGGTCCACACTTACCTGGCTCCATCCTGAAGGAATGGTCCATGCTTACCTGGGCCCATCCTGAAGAAACAGTCCATGCTTACCTTGCTCCATCCTGAAGGAATGGTCCACACTTACCTGACTCCACTCTGAAGGAATGGTCCATGCTTACCTGGGCCCATCCTGAAGAAACAGTCCATGCTTACCTGGCTGTATTCTGAAGAAATGGTCCACACTTACCTGGCTCCATCCTGAAGGAATGGTCCGTGCTTACCTGGGCCCATCTTGAAGAAACAGTCCATGCTTACCTGGCTGTATTCTGAAGGAATGGTCCACACTTACCTGGCTCCATTCTGAAGGAATGGTCCATGCTTACCTGGGCCCATCCTGAAGAAACAGTCCATGGTTACCTGGCTGTATTCTGAAGGAATGGTCCACACTTACCTGGCTCCATCCTGAAGGAATGGTCCATGCTTACCTGGGCCCATCCTGAAGAAAGAGTCCATGCTTACCTTGCTCCATTCTGAAGGAATGGTCCATACTTACCTGAATCCATCCTGAAGGAATGGTCCATGCTAACATGGGCCCATCCTGAAGAAACAGTCCATGCTTACCTGGCTGTATTCTGAAGGAATGGTCCACACTTACTGGCTCCATCCTGAAGGAATGGTCCATGCTTACCTGGGCCCATCCTGAAGAAACAGTCCATGCTTACCTGGCTGTATTCTGAAGGAATGATCCACACTTTCCTGTCTCCATCCTGAAGGTATGGTCCATGTTTACCTGGGCCCATCCTGAAGAAATAGTCCATGCTTACCTGGCTGTATTCTGAAGAAATGGTCCACACTTACTGGCTCCATCCTGAAGGAATGGTCCATGCTTACCTGGGCCCATCCTGAAGAAACAGTCCATGCTTACCTGGCTGTATTCTGAAGGAATGATCCACACTTTCCTGTCTCCATCCTGAAGGTATGGTCCATGTTTACCTGGGCCCATCCTGAAGAAATAGTCCATGCTTACCTGGCTGTATTCTGAAGGAATGGTCCACACTTCCCTGGCTCCAACCTGAAGGAATGGTCCATGCTTACCTGGGCCCATCCTGAAGAAACAGTCCATGCTTACCTTGCTCCATTCTGAAGGAATGGTCCACAAATACCTGACTGCATCCTGAAGGAATGGTCCATGCTTACCTGGGCCCATCCTGAAGAAACACTCCATGTTTACCTGGCTGTATTCTGAAGAAATGGTCCACACTTACCTGGCTCCATCCTGAAGGAATGGTCCATGCTTCCCTGGGCCCATCCTGAAGAAACAGTCCATGCTTACCTTGCTCCATCCTGAAGGAATGGTCCACACTTACCTGACTCCAGCCTGAAGGAATGGTCCATGCTTACCTGGGCCCATCCTGAAGAAATAGTCCATGCTTACCTGGCTGTATTCTGAAGAAATGGTCCACACTTACCTGGCTCCATCCTGAAGGAATGGTCCATGCTTACCTGGGCCCATCCTGAAGAAACACTCCATGCTTACCTGGCTGTATTCTGATGGAATGGTCCACACTTACCTGGCTCCATGCTGGAGGAATGGTCCATGCTTACCTGGGCCCATCCTGAAGAAACAGTCCATGCTTACCTTGCTCCATCCTGAAGGAATGGTCCACACTTACCTGACTCCACTGTGAAGGAATGGTCCATGCTTACCTGGGCCCATCCTGAAGAAACAGTCCATTCTTACCTGGCTGTATTCTGAAGGAATGGTCCACACTTACCTGGCTCTATCCTGAAGGAATGGTCCATGGTTACCTGGGCCCATCATGAAGAAACAGTCCATGCTTACCTGGCTGTATTCTGAAGGAATGGTCCACACTTACCTGACTTCATCCTGAAGGAATGGTCCATGCTTACCTGGGCCCATCCTGAAGGAATGGTCCACACTTACCTGACTCCATCCTGAAGGAATGGTCCATGCTTAACTGGGCCCATCCTGAAGAAACAGTGCATGCTTACCTGGCTGCATTCTGAAGGAATGGTCCCTGCTTACCTGATTCCATCCTGAAGGAATGGTCCACACTTACGTGACTCCATCTTGAAGGATTGGTCCATGCTTACCTGGGCCCATCTTGAGGAAACTGTCCATGCTTACCTGGCTGTATTCTGAAGAAATGGTCCACACTTACCTGGCTCCATCCTGAAGGACTGGTTCATGCTTACCTGGGCCCATCCTGAAGAAACAGTCCATGCTTACCTGGCTGTATTCTGAAGGAATGGTCAACACTTACCTGGCTCCATCCTGAAGGAATGGTCCATGCTTACCTGGGCCCATCCTGAAGAAACAGTCCATGCTTAACTGGCTGTATTCTGAAGGAATGGTCAGTGATTACCTGGCTCCATCCTCAAGGAATAGTCCATGCTTACCTGGGCCCATCCTGAAGAAGCAGTCAATGCTTACCTTGCTGCATCCTGATGGAGTGGTCCACACTTACCTGACTCCATCCTGAAGGAATGGTCCATGCTTAACTGGGCCCATCCTGAAGAAACAGTCCATGCTTACCTTGTTGCATTCTGAACGAATGGTCCATACTTACCTGACTCCATCCTGAAGGAATGGTCCATGCTTACCTGGGCCCATCCTGAAGAAACAGTCCATGCTTACCTGGCTGTATTATGAAGAAATGGTCCACACTTACCTGGCTCCATCCTGAAGGAAGGGTCCACACTTCCCTGAATCCACCCTGAAGGAATGGTCCATGCTGAGCTGGGCTCATCCTGAAGAAACAGTCCATGCTTACCTGGCTGTATTCTGAAGGAATGGTCCCTGCTTACCTGATTCCATCTTGAAGGAATGGTCCACACTTACGTGACTCCATCCTGAAGGAATGGTCCATGCTTACCTGGGCCCATCTTGAGGAAACAGTCCATGCTTACCTGGCTGTATTCTGAAGAAATGGTCCACACTTACCTGGCTCCATCCTGCAGGACTGGACCATGCTTACCTGGGCCCATCCTGAAGAAACAGTCCATGCTTACCTGGCTGTATTCTGAAGGAATGGTCCACACTTACCTGGCTCCATCCTGAAGGAATGGTCCATGCTTACCTGGGCCCATCCTGAAGAAACAGTCCATGCTTACCTTGCTCCATCCTGACGGATTGGTCCCTGCTTACCTGATTCCATCCTGAAGGAATGGCCCACACTTATGTGACTCAATCCTGAAGGAATGGTCCATGCTTACCTGGGCCCATCCTGAAGAAACAGTCCATGCTTACCTGGCTGTATTCTGAAGGAATGGTCCACAATTACGTGACTACATCCTGAAGGAATGGTCCATGCTTACCTGGGCCCATCCTGAAGAAACACTCCATGCTTACCTGCCTGTATTCTGAAGAAATGGTCCACACTTACCTGGCTGCATCCTGAAGGAATGGTCCATGCTTACCTGGGCCCATCGTGAAGAAACAGTCCATGGTTACCTGGCTGTATTCTGAAGGAATGGTGCACGCTTACCTGGCTCCATCCTGAAGGGATGGTCCATGCTTACCTGGGCCCATCCTGAAGAAACAGTCCATGCTTTCCTTGCTCCATCCTGAAGGAATGGTCCACACTTACCTGACTCCATTCTGAAGGAATGGTCCATGCTTACCTGGGCCCATCCTGAAGATACAGTCCATGCTTACCTGGCCGTGTTCTGAAGGAATGTTCCACACTTACCTGGCTCTATCCTGAAGGAATGGTCCATGGTTACCTGGGTCCATCCTGAAGAAAGAGTCCATGCATACCTGGCTGTATTCTGAAGGAATGGTCCACACTTACCTGGCTCCATCCTGAGGGAATGGTCCATTCTTACCTGGGCCCATCCTGAAGATACAGTCCATGCTTACCTGGCCGTATTCTGAAGGAATGTTCTACACTTACCTGGCTCTATCCTGAAGGAATGGTCCATGGTTACCTGGGCCCATCCTGAAGAAAGAGTCCATGCATACCTGGCTGTATTCTGAAGGAATGGTCCACACTTACCTGGCTCCATCCTGAAGGAATGGTCCATTCTTACCTGGGCCCATCCTGAAGAAAGAGTTCATGCTTACCTGGCTGTATTCTGAAGGAATGGTCCTTGCTTACCTGATTCCATCCTGAAGGAATGGTCCACACTTACGTGACTCCATCCTGAAGGAATGGTCCATGCTTACCTGGTCCCATCCTGAAGAAACAGTCCATGCTTACCTGGCTGTATTCTGAAGGAATGGTCCACACTTACCTGGCTCCATCCTGAAGGAATGGTCCATGCTTACCTGGGCCCATCCTGAAGAAACAGTACATGCTTACCTGCCTGTATTCTGAAGGCATGATCATCACTTTCCTGTCTCCATCCTGAAGAAATGGTCCATGTTTACCTGGGCCCATCCTGAAGAAACAGTCCATGCTTACCTGGCTGTATTCTGAAGGAATGGTCACTGATTACCTGGCTCCATCCTCAAGGAATAGTCCATGCTTACCTGGGCCCATCCTGAAGAAGCAGTCCATGCTTACCTTGCTGCATCCTGATGGAGTAGTCCACACTTACCTGACTGCATCCTGAAGGAATGGTCCATGCTTACCTGGTCCCATCCTGAAGAAACAGTCCATGCTTACCTTGCTGCATTCTGAAGGAATGGTCCATACTTACCTGACTCCATCCTGAAGGAATGGTCCATGCTTACCTGGGCCCATCCTGAAGAAACAGTCCATGCTTACCTGGCCGTATTCTGAAGAAATGTTCCACACTTACCTGGCTCCATCCTGAAGGAATGGTCCACACTGACCTGACTCCACTCTGAAGGAATGGTCCATGCTTACCTGGGCCCATCCTGAAGAAACAGTCCATGCTTACCTGGCTGTATTCTGAAGGAATGGTCCACACTTACCTGGCTCTATCCTGAAGGAATGGTCTATGCTTACCTGGGCCCATCCTGAAGAAACAGTCCATGCTTACCTTGCTCCATCCTGAAGGAATGGTCCACACTTACCTGACTCCATCCTGAAGGAATGGTCCATGTTTACCTGGGCCCATCCTGAAGAAACAGTCCATGCTTACTTGGCTGTATTCTGAAGGAATGGTCCACACTTACCTGGCTCCATCCTGAAGTAATGGTCCACACTTACCTGACTCCATCCTGATGGAATGGTCCATGCTTACCTGGGCCCATCCTGAAGAAACAGTCCATGCTTACCTTGATCCATCCTGAAGGAATGGTCCCCACTTACCTGACTCCATCCTGAAGGAATGGTCCATGATTAACTGGGCCCATCCTGAAGAAACAGTGCATGCTTACCTGGCTGTATTCTGAAGGAATGGTCCCTGCTTACCTGATTCCATCCTGAAGGAATGGTCCACACTTACGTGACTCCATCCTGAAGGAATGGTCCATGCTTACCTGGGCCCATCCTGAAGAAACAGTCCATGCTTACCTGGCTGTATTCTGAAGAAATGGTCCACACTTACCTGGCTCCATCCTGAAGGAATGGTCCATGCTTACCTGGGCCCATCCTGAAGAAACAGTCCATGCTTACGTGGCTGTATTCTGAAGGAATGGTCCACACTTACCTGGCTCCATCCTGAAGGAATGGTCCATGCTTACCTGGGCCCATCCTGAAGAAACAGTCCATACTTACCTGGCTGTATTCTGAAGAAATGGTCCACACTTACCTGGCTCCATCCTGAAGGAATGGTCCGTGCTTACCTGGGCCCATCTTGAAGAAACAGTCCATGCTTACCTGGCTGTATTCTGAAGGAATGGTCCACACTTACCTGGCTCCATTCTGAAGGAATGGTCCATGCTTACCTGGGCCCATCCCAAAGAAACAGTCCATGGTTACCTGGCTGTATTCTGAAGGAATGGTCCACACTTACCTGGCTCCATCCTGAAGGAATGGTCCATGCTTAACTGGGCCCATCCTGAAGAAAGAGTCCATGCTTACCTTGCTCCATTCTGAAGGAATGGTCCATACTTACCTGAATCCATCCTGAAGGAATGGTCCATGCTTACATGGGCCCATCCTAAAGAAACAGTCCATGCTTACCTTGCTCCATCCTGAAGGAATGGTCCACATTTACCTGGCTCCATCCTGAAGGAATGGTCCTTGCTTACCTGGGCCCATCCTGAAGAAACAGTCCATGCTTACCTGGCTGTATTCTGAAGGAATGGTCCCTGCCTACCTGATTCCATCGTGAAGGAATGGTCCACACTTATGTGACTCCATCCTGAAGGAATGGTCCATGCTTACCTCGGCCCATCCTGAAGAAACAGTCCATGCTTACCTGGCTGTATTCTGAAGGAATGGTCCACAATTACCTGACTCCATCATGAAGGAATGTTCCATGCTTACCTGGGCCCATCCTGAAGAAACACTCCATGCTTACCTGGCTGTATTCTGAAGGAATGGTCCACACTTACCTGGCTCCCTCCTGAAGGAATGGTCCATGCTTACCTGGGCCCATCCTGGAGAAACACTCCATGCTTACCTGGCAGTATTCCGAAGGAATGGTCCACACTTACCTGGCTCCATCCTGAAGGAATGGTCCATGCTTACCTGGGCCCATCCTGAAGAATCAGTCCATGCTTACCTTGCTCCATCCTGAAGGAATGGTCCACACTTACCTGACTCCACTCTGAAGGAATGGTCCATGCTTACCTGGGCCCATCCTGAAGAAACACTCCATGCTTACCTGACTGTATTCTGAAGGAATGGTCCACACTTACCTGGCTCTATCCTGAAGGAATGGTCCATGCTTACCTCGGCCCATCCTGAAGAAACAGTCCATGCTTACCTGGCTGTATTCTGAAGGAATGGTTCACACTTACCTGGCTCCATCCTGAAGGAATGGTCCATGCTTACCTGGGCCCATCCTGAAGAAACAGTCCATGCTTACCTTGATCCATCCTGAAGGAATGGTCCCCACTTACGTGACTCCATCCTGAAGGAATGGTCCATGATTAACTGGGCCCATCCTGAAGGAACAGTGCATGCTTACCTGGCTGTATTCTGAAGGAATGGTCCCTGCTTACCTGATTCCATCCTGAAGGTATGGTCCACACTTACGTGACTCCATCCTGAAGGAATGGTCCATGCTTACCTGGGCCCATCCTGAAGAAACAGTCCATGCTTACCTGGCTGTATTCTGAAGAAATGGTCCACACTTACCTGGCTCCATCCTGCAGGACTGGTCCATGCTTACCTGGGCCCATCCTGAAGAAACAGTCCATGCTTACCTGGCTGTATTCTGAAGGAATGGTCCACACTTACCTGGCTCCATCCTGAAGGAATGGTCCATGCTTACCTGGGCCCATCCTGAAGATACAGTCCATGCTTACCTTGCTCCATCCTGAAGGAATGGTCAACACTTACCTGACTCCACTCTGAAGGAATGGTCCATGCTTACCTGGGCCCATCCTGAAGAAACAGTCCATGCTTACCTGGCTGTATTCTGAAGAAATGGTCCACACTTACCTGGCTCCATCCTGAAGGAATGGTCCGTGCTTACCTGGGCCCATCTTGGAGAAACAGTCCATGCTTACCTGGCTGTATTCTGAAGGAATGGTCCACACTTACCTGGCTCCATCCTGAAGGAATGGTCCATGCTTACCTGGGCCCATCCTGAAGAAACAGTCCATGCTTACCTTGCTCCATTCTGAAGGAATGGTCCATTCTTACCTGAATCCATCCTGAAGGAATGGTCCATGCTTACCTGGGCCCATCCCAAAGAAACAGTCCATGCTTACCTGACTGTATTCTGAAGGAATGGTCCACACTTACCTGGCTCCATCCTGAAGGAATGGTCCATGCTTACCTGGGCCCATCCTGAAGGAACAGTCCATGCTTACCTGGCTGTATTCTGAAGGAATGGTCACTGATTACCTGGCTCCATCCTCAAGGAATAGTCCATGCTTACCTGGGCCCATCCTGAAGAAGCAGTCCATGCTTACCTTGCTGCATCCTGATGGAGTGGTCCACACTTACCTGACTGCATCCTGAAGGAATGGTCCATGCTTACCTGGTCCCATCCTGAAGAAACAGTCCATGCTTACCTTGCTGCATTCTGAAGGAATGGTCCATACTTACCTGACTCCATCCTGAAGGAATGGTCCATGCTTACCTGGGCCCATCCTGAAGAAACAGTCCATGCTTACCTGGCCGTATTCTGAAGAAATGTTCCACACTTACCTGGCTCCATCCTGAAGGAATGGTCCACACTGACCTGACTCCACTCTGAAGGAATGGTCCATGCTTACCTGGGCCCATCCTGAAGAAACAGTCCATGCTTACCTGGCTGTATTCTGAAGGAATGGTCCACACTTACCTGGCTCTCTCCTGAAGGAATGGTCTATGCTTACCTGGGCCCATCCTGAAGAAACAGTCCATGCTTACCTTGCTCCATCCTGAAGGAATGGTCCACACTTATCTGACTCCATCCTGAAGGAATGGTCCATGTTTACCTGGGCCCATCCTGAAGAAACAGTCCATGCTTACTTGGCTGTATTCTGAAGGAATGGTCCACACTTACCTGGCTCCATCCTGAAGTAATGGTCCACACTTACCTGACTCCATCCTGATGGAATGGTCCATGCTTACCTGGGCCCATCCTGAAGAAACAGTCCATGCTTACCTGGCTGTAGTCTGAAGGAATGGTCCACACTTAACTGGCTCCATCCTGAAGGAATGGTCCATGCTTACCTGGGCCCATCCTGAGGAAACACTCCTTGCTTACCTGGCTGTATTCTGAAGGAATGGTCCCTGATTACCTGGCTGCATCCTGAGGGAATGACCCACACTTAACTCACTGAATCTTGAAGGAATGGTCAGTGCTTACCTGGCTCCATTTTGAGGGAATGATCCATGCCTACATGGCTGCATCCTGACGGAATGATCCATGCTACCCTGGCAGCATCCTAAAGAAATGGTTCATACTTACCTACCTGCATGCTGAAGAATGGTCCCTGCTTACCTGGCTGCATCCTGATCAAATGGTCTACACTTACCTTGCTCCATTCTGAAGGTATGGTCCACACTTTTATATCTGCATCCTCAAGGAATGGTTCATGCTTACCTGTCTGCATCCTGAGGAAATGGTCCAGGGTTACCTGGCTCCATCCTGAAAAATTGTTTTATGTTTACCTGGCTGCATCCAGAAGGAATGGTCCATGCTTACCTGGCTCTATTCTGAAGGAATGTCCCATGCTTACCTGGCTCCCTCCTTAATGAAACATTCACACTTACCTGGCTCCATCCTGAAATACTGGCTCATATTTACCTGTATGTACCCTAAAGTAATGGTCCATGCTTACCTGGCTCCATGTTGAATGAATGGCCCATACTTATCTCACTTCACCCTGAATGAATGGCCCATACTTACCTGGCTCCATTTGGAAGGAATGATCCATGCTTACCTGGCTTTATCTTGAAAAAATGGTCCATGCTTACCTTGCTCCATCTGAAGGAATGTTCCACGCTTACCTGGCCGCATCCTGAAGGATTGATCCATGCTTACCTGGCTGCATCCTGAAGGAATGATCCACACTTACCTGGCTGTATCCTGAACGAGTGGTCCTTGGTTACCTGGCTGCATTCTGAGAAAATGGTCCAAACTTACCTGGCTTTATCCTAAGGGAATGGTCCATGCTTAGCTGGCTCCATCCAGAAGAAATGATCCATTCAGAAGAAAGGTTCATGCTTACCTGGCTGCATCCTGAAGAAATGGTCCACAGTTACCTGGCTGCACCCTAAAGCAAAGGTCTGTGCTTACTTGGCTGCATCCTGAAGAAATGTTTCACGCTTACCTGGCTCCATCCTGAAGAAATGGTCCACAGTTTCCTGGCTGCACCCTAAAGGAAAGGTCTGTGCTTACCTGGCTGCATCCTGAAGGAATTGTCCATGCTTACTTGGCTCCATCCTGAGGGAATGGTCTATGCATACCTGGCTCCATCCTGAAGTAATAATGGCCCTCGCTTCCCTGGCTTTACACTGAAGGAATTGTCCACACTTCCCTGGCTGCATCCTGAAGAAATGATTCACATTTATCCGGCTCCATCCTGAAGAAATGATCCATGTTTACCTAGCTGCATCCTGAAGGAATGTTTCATACTTACCTGGCTGCATCCTGAAGGAATGCTTCCTGCTTACCTGGCTACACCGTGGAGGAATGGTTCATACTTACCAGCCTCTATCCTGAAGGAATTGTCCACGCTTACCTGGCTGCATCCTGAAGGAGTGGTCCATGCTTACCTGGAGGCTTCATCTGGGAAAACAACCTGTTCCATCCTCTGGCCATTTCCATCTTGGATTCCTCTGAGCTAATGACCCAGGTGTTAATTTTTTTTGTTGTTTATAGGATTATGATCATGAAAGACAAGGTTTCTGTTCTCCTGGTACTTAGATTCTAATGAGGGATCACAATCTGTGTTCACTGGGTTTCTCCAGAGAAACAGAAACAATGGGATACCAGTTCTTTGTTTTCTTTCTTTCCTCCCTTTTTTTTCTTCCTCCTTTTTCCATCTATCTATCTATTTATCGTCTATCTTCTATCATTCTTTCTTTTCTGCTTCCTTGTTTCATACATCTATCTATCTAGAGAGAGAGAAAGAGAAAAGACAAGAGAAAGAGATTTTATTATAAGGCATTGGCTCCTGCAGTTATGGAGGCTGACAAGTTCCGTGATCTGCAGGGTGAGTTGGCGAGTGGAGACCTCCGAGAGCTGATGGTGTAGCTCCAGTCCAAAGGCCAGCAGGCTGGAGACCCAGGAAGAGATGTTCCAGTTAGAGTCTGAAGGCAGCAGAAAGCTAATGTCCCAGCTTGAAGGCAGCTGGGCAGGAAGAGCCAGCATTCCAGGTGGGGGCCATCAGCCAGCAGAGTCCCCCGTTTCTCAGAGGAGGGACGGCCCTTTCATTCTATTCCAGGCTTCTCGTGGGTGGATGAGGCCCACCCCCATTAGGGAGGGCAGTCTGCTTTACTCAGTCTGACAATTAAAATATTAATCTCAACCAGAAACACCCCACAGACACACCCAGAATGTCTGACCAAATATCTGGACACCCTGTGTCCTCATCAAGTTGACACGTAAAATTCACCATCACGTCACCCGTTGTCACCTTGGCACTGATGGGTTTCCTTAAAACCACACTTTATCCTCAAATAAAGAAGATACCAAGGTCACCATTCCACCTAACGTGATACAGCTAATCCCACATACAACTGAAAACACACAATCTCTTCCCCAGAAAAGGAAATAAAGGCCTTGAGTGAGGTTTACGCTTCTTCTGATATTTTCAACTTAGATTCTATGATGTAAAATTCACAATTCTTGAATACAATCTTATAACCTAAATACATCTTATGTTACATAACAGGATAAGAGAGGGAAGAAAACAAAGATATTTGCTATATAATACGCACACACATTCATAACAAAATTAGGAGGAAATTCTTCTGACTACTGCAGGCCTCACCTCAGTAATTAGTCACCTGGAGACAAATGTGGAAGATAATTTGAAGTCGTGATAGGAGCTGTGAAGACACACAGCCAGGCCATACTCACCCAGCAGGGCTGGGCCTCAGGGTGCCCCACAGGTGTCCCCTCAAAGCGTAGAAACCGGACTTTTGCCCACCAACTGCCTTCCATAGGGCCGGTATCTCCCCTGCAGGCCCAGCCTCTCAGGCTGCTTCAGATGTGGGCTGTGCTCATTCTTCTGGCTTGAGAAAATGTCTGGAGGAAAAGTAGTGACTACGAGGTGCACACGTGAGGTGGGATTGTGGCAGCATTCATGGCCATCGTCTCAGCTCTGCAGGCGGAATTCGAGGTGGGATGAGGAGATAATCTGTGTATGGGGCAAAAGAGATGCTTCCATCCTCATCTCCTGGCAACAGCCAGATTCCATTTTTCTCCCCATTGTACAGGAGGGGCACAGAAGTTCCGTAACTTGCCAGAGGTCACAAAGATCACAATTTGTAGAGGAAGGGTTTGACCCCAGGCAGCCAGCGAAGGATGTATGTGGGGAACTTGACTAAGTCATTAAAGCATATGAGTTTTCTACTTCGTATACTTTAATCATTTGAAAATGTATTAAATAAACATAAAATACCTTAATAATAAAAAATATGTGTATTCAGATATTTTCTTTCAGTGTGGTCTTGGTTGTGATGCACTGATACTTAAATTGATCTATGCTTTTATGTTAAGCATTATTTTCCTTTTCAGTAGAGAATAAACTAACTTCAACTATATTTCAGCAGGGAAAACATGAACTGATATAAGTTCCAATATGTTTTCTCATCGAGAACAAGATGAATACATACACACATATAAAACACATGCACTCTTAAGTAAAAATAGGATTTTTTTTTCGAGGTTTTGCTCTTGTTGCCCAGGCTGGAGTGCAATGGTGTGATCTCAGCTCACTGTAACCTCCGCCTCCAGGGTGTAGCTGGGATTACAGTTGCCTGCCACCACGTCTGGGTAATTTTTGTATAAAAATAGGACTTTAAAAAAAAATCCAAATTTCTGATATTTAGGGACCATGACACAGCAATGTCTCCTGCACTGGACTTTATGTTTTATTAGTAAAGATTTTACCACTTTATTAAAATTATAATTTGGTATAATTATTATAATTTGGATAATATCTGAATGATACCTCTGATATATCTGAGTTATGATCTGGATTGAAGTAGACTTAACAACAATCAATTTCAGTAAATATAGCCAAGTGACCATGTAGTGTTACAAGTTCCAAAATTTCCACCCCAAGAATGACACGGCCACAGACGTGGGATGTGTGGCCTCTGCTCAGGACAGAGGGGACCCGGTGGGGCACCGCTGAGAGCTCTGAACTGAGAGAGACAGAAACCAGTTACTACTCATTCAGACCACTGACTTGGGCAGTTGACTGAATCTCTCAGGGCCTGTTTCCCTGTATTGACAATAATAACCTACCATGGAGATGAGGATGAAACTTTACCTACCGCAAACCTCTATGGAAATACGGGTTGTTAATATTAACCACCATCAGTGAGCCCATGGCTATGGCCACAGCCTAGAGAGGCTGAAACGGTTAACTGTGACTAGACACCGGAGGTTGGAGACTTACTTGCTTTATGACTGGGTTGACTCGTAAATGCCACGTAGACTTGCAAAGGAAGCGGTAAAGAGCTGTACCCCCGCTCTGGGGGGTTTATCATCAGAAGGAGAGAGACCCGAGGGAGCCACCTGCCCACTCCAGATGAGGTGCTCCGTGGAACACGAGGAGCACACGAAACCCGATCAGCTTTGTGTGACTTCCGCGTGTGGGGTGGCACGCGTGTGCTTGCTATTCATTGTTTCTGCTGGGGGCATTTTTATCTTTTGAAATTCTTTCTTCTGAACCTTTCGTGCCTACCAGAACCAGCCTGTCAGGATGCGCCTGATCTCCACAGCAGCCCCTCCATCCGACTCTGAAGAAGCCGTCAGCTCACAGAAGATTCCTTTTGTTTAATGAGTAACAGCTACTGACTCACTCCATGGCCCACCAGAATGACAGACTCCTGTTCAAAAGCCTGATCTGAAGTTGCTGCCATGACACAAGCAATGCCTGTGAAGTGCCTGCAGCCCACGCCTCTGAGACAGGCCAGGCGTGTGGTGGACACGCAGCTGCAGGCGCTTGCTCTCTGTCATCACGAGAAAAAGTATCCCTGCACCGGACAAGAAAGGACCTGCAGGCACACTCACAATCAACTTCCTGATTTCACAATGATGGTAGGGAGCCCTGTGGGCACTAGAAGCAGCGGGGAGGGGTTCTAGACCTTTGGTGCCCAAGAGACTTCCGTGCATGGAAAATGTTGACTTCTAGCTTCCATCTGCAGCGAACTCTCCATCGGGACATGGGACCTGGCTGTACGAGTTAATTCAAACTGAGCCACTTTCCATTAGGGTGAGCCACTTTTCATCATATGCTTATCATAACAATCAGATCTTTTGTGTAAACTGGAGCTTTTTTAAACTTAGCGTCTTTCCCAGATAGAGTGCACTCTTTCTGGTCACAGGATTGCATTCGCGTCCTTATTTTCCTGCTATGAGGAAGTGTTGATCTGGTCCAGGTGTGTTTTAAAGTATACACCCTGGACCATTCCATCATTACAGGGAGCGGAGTGGGGTTATCTGGAGGCCTCATCTGCTAGGAGACGAGGGATGTGCTGGGGGCAACAGGAGGCTGTGCTGTGTCCACACCAACTCCTTTTCAGGAACCGTCCAGAAGCTCAGGGACGTGAAACCTAAACTCTGTCCTCCAAGTCTTCTTGCAGCTGATGTACCTGAGGTGGTTTAGGTGACACTAATCTGGGGTCCTGAGGAGGCTCTGACTTTGAAATCCAGTTAAGCGAGAAGGAAGGTGGGGGATGAGGTGCCCATTCTGCTCGTGTCATGAATATTATTTTCACTGCTGTTATCTGATGTTGATTAGCATATATTTTTCATATATATATATATATCTGTGTGTGTGTATGCCATATATGTATTTGCAGAAATACTTTGAGGCCTTATATAATGTTATCTTCCTCCAGAGATAATTTTCTCTTCCTTTTTCCAGGCACCAAATGGAGTTAGCAATCCAAGATTATTTTATTTTCTGGGCTATCCAGATGACTTAAAGCCTCGCTGAAGTTCCCATGAGAAGAGTTTAAACAACCCAAAGAAAGCACGTAAGAAAGGAATAACAACAACAAAACCCAGAAAGAATGAATAGGAAACAAATGCAGTGGTTCCCTTTACCTGTGGCGAAGACGTTCCAAGACCCCCAGTGGATAGTACCAAGCCCTAGATATATGATATTTTTTCTGTATACACACACACCTATAATGAAGCTTAATTTATAAGTTGGGAACAGTAAGAAATTAGCAACAGTAACTAATATAACAATATACAATAATAAAAGTGATGTGTGTGTGATTTCTCTCTCTCAAAATATCTTATTGTACTGTATGCACCTATTTTCAGATCATGGTCGACTGCAGGGAACTGAAACTACAGAAATGAACACTTCCAATAAGAGGCAACTACTGTTCTCAAACGGTAGAGTCAAACATAACCATATTACACCAAATGTTACATCAGTGTTTAACTCACATCATGTTAAACATTGCAATGAAGAGAAGAGATTCTCCAGTGAATACAAATGCAACACCCAACTCCATGCTTTTTAAAGGAAATCTGACTTTAAATATAAAGTCACAGATGGGTTGATGTGAATAGATTCAAGAAAAGATATACCACACAAGCATAAAGCATAACAGCCTCAAGTGGGTATCTTTCTATCAGAAAATAGATATTAAGACAAAAACATTACCAGAGATAAAGAGCACTTTATAACAAAAGGCTCATTTAGTCAGAAAACACAATAATTATAAATGTGTAGTATCTAATAATGGAGCTTCTAAATACATGAAGAAAAATGGATAGAAATATAGGAGAAATAGAAAATTCCACAATCAGAGTTGGATACTTTAAACCCCATATCAGCAATTTATAGAAGAACTAGACAAAAGATCAGAAAAAAAGAATAACTAAAAAACACTATTGGCCAGGTGTGGTGGCTCATGCCTGTAATCCCAGCACTTTGGGAGGCCAAGGCAGGTGGATCACCTGAGGTAAGGAGTTTGAGACCAGCCTGGCCAACATGGTGAAACCCTGTCCCTACTAAAAATACAAAAACTAACCGGGTGTGGTGGTGCATGCCTGTAATCCCAGCTACTTGGGTGCCTGAGGCGGGAGAATCATTTGAACCTGGGAGGCGGAGGTTGCAGTGAGCCGAGATCATGCCATTGCACTCCAGCCTGGGCAACAAGAGCGAAACTCTATCTCAAAACAAAACAAAACAACCAAAAAAACCCCACTATTGACCTTGAGTTTACTGATATTTGTAGAGCACTATACCTTATGGCAGCAGAATACAAATTCTTTTCACCTGTGTGTGCTACTCCAGCAGGTGCCAGATTCTGTAGCCTAAAACAAGTCTCATCAGATTTAAGAAGATTGATGTCACATAGAGTATGCTCTCGACTACAATAAAGTTAAGTTAAAGAGCTTCACCATAAATATAACTGGGACGCCCCCAGATATTTGGAAATTAAACAACACATTTGTAAATAATCCATGAGTAAAATTAAAAAGAAAATCAGAAAATATTTTTAGCTAAATAATAAAAATACATTTCAATAGTTATGGGATGCAGCTAACATAGTAACGAGGGAAATTTGTAGATTTAAATTCACATTTTAGAAAAATAGTCTACATCCAGTAATCTGAGTTACCAACTTAAGATATTAGTAAAAGAAAATTAAACCAAAAGTAAGAAGAAAAAAAATAATAAAAAGAGGGGTAGAAATTATTAAAATCAAAACTAAAATAAATAAATATCAGTGAAACAAAAACTGGTTCTTTAAGAATTTATGAACCTTCAGTTAGACTAGTCAATGGAGGGGGTGAAAACAGAAGAAACTCAAATTACCAATAACAGGAACAAAAGAAAAAACATCTCTATAGATCAGACAGTTAAAAGGCAAAAAGCGAATATTATGAGTAACTCTATGCCAATAAATTTTGTAATCTAGATGAAATGAATCACATTTTTCAAAGACACAAATTACCAAAAGTGAAATTGGTAAATTGAATACTTACATATCTCTATGTCAATTATAAATTTGGATTTGTAGTAAGTTATCTCCCCATAGGACCTCTCAATTCTGAAGGAAATGTAGTGTTGATAGTTTTCAAACCAGAATGAGGAAGATGTTGAGATTATCAGGGAAAGAACTGAAAGAACCTACTTTAATCATGTATCCTGAGGTAAAGGCAAACATTCTTGATATGACAGAAAAGCCTCATCAGAGAAATAGAACTATAAAATACAACCAAATGGAAATGTTAGAACTGAAAAATACAATCTCTGAAATTAAAAAAAAATCACTGGAGGGGCTCAATAGCACAATGGAGGTCATGGAACTTACAGTCTGTGAACTTGAAGATTAAATCATAGAAATTATTCAATCTAAAAAAACAGAGAAAAAAGGATTGAATAGAAAATAAATAGACCTGTGAGGAAATATCAAAAGCTTAACATTTACGACAGTAGAGTCCTAAAGAGACAGAAGAAAGAGATTGGTGTGGAATTTGAAGAAAGTATGGCCAGACATGCTGAACTGAAAGACAGATGTACAGATTGAAGAAGATCAGAGAGCCCCATACAGAATAAACTCAAAGGAAATCACACCAAAGCACATTATAGTCGAAGTACTAAAAATAAAAGATAAATAAACATCATGAAAGCAGGCAAAGAAAAGCACTGCATTACATGCAGGAAATAATAATTTGAACAACTTAAATTTCTTATCAGAAACCATGGAACCTGGAAGACAGTGGAACAATATCCTTAAAATGCTGAAAGATGATGGCCAACCAAAAATTCTATACCAGTGAAAATATGCAGAAGAATGGTAGCAAAATAAGGACATTCTCAGATAAATGAAAACAAAAAGAACTCATAAGCAGAACTGCTCTTGAGAAAATACTAAATGAAATTATTGACGCTGAAGAGAAATGATATCAAAAGGAATCCTGGAACTTCAAAAAGTAAGAAGAGTGAGAGAAGGCAAACATATGAGTAAATATATCAAGCTATTCTTGTTTCCCTCTTAAACATCACTCTGAAAGCAAAAATTATAACATTTACTAGGTGGTATTCAATAATGATAGATAATATTTATGAAGCTATAAAATAAAAGGGGAGAACAAGCAGAGCTACATGTTTGTAAACCTTCCATATTTTGAATAAAGTGGTAAAATATTAAATATAATTAGACTAAAATTTTAGGTAAATGTTAAGTCATGGTGTATTATCATTTTTACATATTGCTAGAGTTGATTTGCTAATGCTTTGTTGAGGACTTCTTTTGCAACTATGTTTATGAGGGATATTTGTCTATAATCACAAGAGTAAGTAATCACAAGAGCGATTACTAAAAAAACAAAGAAAAACAAACAAACAAAAGACAAACAAGAAGCCATAACAAAAAAGATAACAGAAAAATACAATACTAAAGCAATCCAAATAATTAAGAAGAAAGCAAGAAAATAGGAACAGAGATATCAAAACTGAGGGAACGAATAAAAAACAAATCTTAATATAGTAGACCTAAATACAAACAAATCAATGATTACATGAAATATAAATGGTCTTAACTCGCCTATTAAATAATGGAGTATGTCAGATTGGGCTAAAAACAAAGACTCAGCTGTATGTTGTTTATAAGAAAACAACTTTAAATATGCTGACATAGGTTAAAAGTAGAAGAATAAAAGTAGATGTACAATGCAAACACTATTGAAAAGAAATTTGATTGCTTGTATTAATATCAGACAATGTAGACTTTAGAACATGGAAAATTACCAGAAATAAAGAGGGGTATTGCATAAAGGTAACAGGGTCAATAACTAGGAGGGCTCCGAAATATATAAAGTGAAAGAAATACAACTGAATACAGAAATAGACAAATTCACAATTATATTTGAAAATGTCATTATATCTGTCTCTGTAATTGATAGGATGATTCAAGTGAAAATCAGCAAGGAGTTGCTTGTAAATTCTAGATATTAGGCCTTTTTCAGATGGGTAGATTGCAAACATTTTCTCCCATTCTGTAGGTTGCCTGTTCACTCTGATAATAGTTTCTTTTGCTGTGCAGAAGCTCTTTATTTTAATCAGATTCCATTTGTCAATTTTGGCTTTTGTTGCCATTGCTTTTGGCTTTTTTGTTATGAAGTCTTTGCCCATGCTATGTCCTGAATGGTATTACCTAGGTTTTCTTCTAGGGTTTTCATGGTTTTGGGTTTTACATTTAAGTCTTTAATCCATCTTGAGTTAATATTTGTATAAAGTGTAAGGAAGGGATCCAGTTTCAGTAGTCTGCATATGGCTAGCCAGTTTTCCCAGCACCATTTGCTGAATAGGAGATCCTTTCCCCATTGCTTGTTTTTGTCAGGTTTGTCGAAGATCAGATGGTTGTAGATGTGTGGTGTATTTTCTGAGGTCTCTGTTCTGCTCCATTGGTCTACATATCTGTTTTGGTAGCAGTACCATGCCGTTTTGGTTACTGTAGCCTTGTATAGTTTGAAATCAGGTAGCGTGATGCCTCCAGCTTTGTTCTTTTTGCTTAAGATTGTCTTGGCTATACGGGGTCTTCTTTGATTCCTATGGAATTTAAAATAGTTTTTTTTTTTTCTAATTCTGTGAAGAATGTCAATGGTAGTTTGATGGGAATAGCATTGAATCTATAAATTACTTTGGGCAGTATGGTCATTTTCATGATATTGATTCTTTCTATTCATGAGGATGTAATATTTTTCCATTTGTTTGTGTCCTCTCTTATTTCCTTGAGCAGTGGTTTGTAGTTCTTCTTGAAGGGGTCTTTCACGTCCCTTGTTAGCTGTATTCCTAGGTATTTTATTCTCTTTGTAGTGATTGTGAATGGGCATTCATTCATGATTTGGCTCTCTGCTTGTCTATTGTTGGTGTAAAGGAATGCTTGTGATTTTTGCACATTGATTTTGTATCCTGATACTTTGCTGAAGTTGCTTATCGGTTTAAGGAGTTTTTGGGCTAAGATGATGGGGTTTTACTAAATATAAAATCATGTTGTTTGCAGACAGAGACAATTTGACTTCCTCTCTTCCTATTTGAATATGCTTTATTTCTTTCTCTTGCCTGATTGCCCTGGCCAGAACTTCCAATACTATTTTGAATAGGAGTGGAGAAAGAGGGCATCCTTGTCTTGTACTGGTTTTCAAAGGGAATGTTTCCAGCTTTTGCCCATTCATTATGATATTGGCTGTGGATTTGTTATAAATAGCTCTTATTATTTTGAGATATGTTCCATCAATACCTAGTTTATTGAGGTTTTTAACATGAAGGGATGTTGAATTTTATCAAAGTCCTTTTCTGCATCTATTGAGATAATCATGTGGTTTTTATCTTTGGTTCTGTTTATGTGACTGATTACGTTTATTGGTTTGTGTATGTTGAACCTGCCTTGCATCCCAGGGATGAAGCCAATTTGATCATGATGGACAAGTTTTTTGATGTGCTGGTGGATTTGGGTTGCCAGTATTTTATTGAGAATTATTTTCATATCTATGTTCATCAGGGATATTGGCTTGAAGTTTTCTTTTTTTGTTGTGTCTCTTCCTGGTTTTGGTATCAGGATGATGCTGGCTTCATAAAATGAAGGATATAGAAGATGCAAACAACACAAAAAACTTGATCTAATTGTCATATATAGAACTTTCCACCCCAAAAGAGCAAAATACACATTGGTTTTTCAAGTGCACATGGAACATTCTGAAAGATAGGCCATGTTCTGGAGCATAAAGTAAAGCCTAAACTTAAAAAAGAAATCATTCAAAGCATGTTCTTGGTACATAACAAATAAAATAGAAGTCAATAATGGAATATTATTGGAATGATACACAAATACTTGAAAATTAAACAGCACACTTCTGAAATAACTTATGGATCACTAGTAATTCTCAAGTGAAATTAGTGAAAATATTGTGAACTGAATGAAAATAAAAATTCATCATATTAAACTTTGTAGGATGCAGCTAAAACAGAGCTTAGAAGGAAATTTGTGACATAAAATGTTGTGTTAGAAATCTAGAACATGGAATGTTTTATTAGAATATAACAAAACTCCTAAATCAATAATCACATTTTCCCCTATAGAAACTAGTTAAGGAAGAGTAAATTAAACCCAAAGTAAGTAAAAGGAATATAATAATAAAGGTAAGAGACTAAAGCAGTCAAATTAAAAACAGAAAAGCAGAAGAGAAAATCAATGAATCCAAAGGCTGTTTCTCTAACAAGATAATAAAACTGATAAAACTCTAGTGAGAATAACCATGAGAAAAAGAAAGAAGACACAATTTTCCAATGTTAGAAATAAAAGAGTGGGCATCACTGTAGACCCTACAGACATGAAAAGGGTAATAAAGGAACACCACAAATGACTATCTGCCTGTAGGGTTGACAGTTCAGATAAAATGGACTAATTTCTTGATAATCATAAATTACTAACGCCCATTCAAGAAAAACAGGCAACATGAATAGTCCTATATCTACTAAAGAAGTTGAATTTTTAATTACAACCTTCCTAATTAGCAAACTTCAGGCCTTGATTGTTTTACTGGTGAATTCCACCAGCATTTAAGAAAGAAATAATACCAATTCTGCAAAATCTCTTCCAGAAAATAGAAGAAGAGAAAACACTGCTCAATAAATATTACCTTTATACAAAAACTACACAAAGATATTCTAAAAAAAGAGATTCTTACAAATATCCCTCATGAACATAGTTGCAAAAGTTCTCAACAAAGCATTAGCAAATCAACTCTAGCAATATGTAAAAATGATAATACACCATGACTTAGTGGGGTTTATCCCAGAAATGCAAGTCTATCTCAACATTAAAAATTAATGTAGAAAAAGCATGTGACAAGTCTCAATGTCCATTTATAATAAAGATGCTCAAAAACCTTAGAAAAGTCTCTTATCTCAATAAAGGGCAGCTACAGGAAACTGCATTGGACCCCACACTTGGTGGTGGAAGATAGAGCTTTCTTCCTAAGGTGGGAAGCAAGACAAGAATGTCAGGTTTCACTGCTCCCAGTCCACATGGTGCAGAAAGTCTCAGTGCAATCAGGCAAAAAACAAACAAACAAACAAAAAACCATACACAAATCCCACAAACAAACAAAAAACCCAAAAAACAAAAGGCATATAGGTTGGAAAGAAACACTTGCGACTTACATTATTTTCTATGCAGAATATCTCCAAAGGCACCTTAGTGGCTCCTATAACTAATAAGTGAGTTTGGCAAGTTCACAGGATACATATTTAATATGAAAAAATCAATTGTATTTCTGAATGAACAATTGGAATTGAGATTTTTTAAAAGTACTATTTCAATTGCACCAAAAAAGAGAGAAATATTTAGATGTACGTACAGCAAAAAATGTGGAGGACATGTGTGCTTAAAAGTACAAAATGCTAATGAATGAAACCAATGATAACTTAAAAGAATGGAAAGATATATTGTATTCCTGAATTGGAAGCTTCAATATTACTAAAATAACAGTTCTGCCCAAGTTGAGACAGACGACTAATAGAGAGAACACACATAAAGGATAGAGAGATAGAGATGGATAGATAGAGATAGATGTTGTAGATATTGACAAGTTGGTTCTAAGACTTACATGAAAGGTAGAGGAATGAGAGTATCCAAAACAATTTTGAAAAAGAATAAAGTTGAAGGCTTACACAACCTGGTTTTAATATTTATTATAATACTACAATAATCAAGACAGTATGGTTCTGTGAAAGATCAGACACATAGATCAATTGATTCACACAGTAGGATCAGCTTTTTTTTTTTAAACAAAGTCATAAAGGCAATTCAGTACAGAAAAGAATAGTTATGTCAAACTGTAGGCTCAAACAATTGAACAAACATGAAAAAAAGAGACAAGAACCCTGACCTACATACCTCATACAAAAATTAACTCAAAATCGGTTGTAGAATAGGAATGTCTTAAGGAGCCATCCTATGCTTACCTCACCACTGTATATTGGATGTGGCTGGGGAGTTTAAAGCTGAGCAGATAACTTGTCTCTTTATTAAAGAGCAAAACCAGGCCCATCTCCCACAGCCGGACCTAACCTAGGTGCTGAAATTCTGGGCTTTGGGCTGAGCTGCGAAGGGATGAGGCTTACTGGGCTGTGGAAGGGGACACATGTATTCCGTGAGTAGGAAGAACGCGAATCACTGGGGCCTGAGGCCAGACTGTGATGGCTTTCAGGATGGCCCCAGCAATCTTCCCTGACAGTTCTCTTCAGCACTGATAAGACACAGCAGAAGTGATGGTGTGTTACTTCCAAATCCAGGCCCTAAAAGGCACCGAGACTTTCACCTTGTCACGAAGATGCCCAGGGAGCCCACGGAGAGGTCAACATGGCAAGCACTGGAGGTGGAAGGGGTCATGGGGGTCTGGTCCTCCTGCCACAGTCAAGCTTTCAGATGATGCAGCCTGCTGACATTGTGACTGAAGGACACCAAGCTGGAACTACCCATCTAGGCCTCTCTGGACTCTTGGCCCACAGAAGCCAGGTGAGGTAATAGGTGTTTCTTGTCTAAGCTACTGAATTTTGAATTAATTTGTTCTAAACGTTGGATAATGATACCAGTTCCACTTGAAAACTCTAATCCTCTTGTTCTACCTTTCTGTCCAGGTCATTTATTTACTATTGTGATGTGGTTATTGATACAAACAACATGAAGAAAGGACTGTATCAAAGTTCTGAGCCCTCCCTGGGGCCCCAGGACAGCATTGGTAATAAGTGCTGGGATGATTCTGTCTTCATTTCAGGGGTTGTCACAAAGGGAGCTGGGCAGCTAAGGTGCTCACAGCTCCCTGGGTCCTCCCAGACCACCTTTTGATCACTCATTCACTTCTGTTTGCAGCTGTGTCCTTCAGCCCTACCCAATCCTTGCATCTCACAGGGAGATGTGGAAGTCTAGGGCTCTGAAGAACCAGAGTTTTGACCAAGTGTTAGTGGCTCATTTTTCCTCATCTGTTTCTTCTCACCCGGTTTTAGTGTCTTGCACACAGAGTGTCCAATAGATAGATATTGATTAAGTTGATGGCCCAGGAGACAAGGAGAGCTACCCAAAGGCTACACATTTCCCTTTGAGTCCATTAGAAATCAAATACGGGGCAAACTTAGAAAAAAGTGAACCCACGTTCTCCCGCCCAGGTGAAGCAGAATCAGAGAAGGCTTGAAGCTCAGCCTCCCCAAGCTACGAATGCATGATTGCACCAGCGCAAGACAGGAATCCCCAGTCCCGGCTGCAGGGGCCAGGGCAGCTTGGACTCTCCACGGCTCTTCAGCTTGGCTTTCTGGGCATTTCAAGACAGGTAAATACAGGCTGTTTTCATCTGTGCTGACCTCTGTGCTCTGTCCTCATAGGGTCACTTGTTTCTCAGGTGGCCCTCAGGCCTGTGATCTTGTCCTCATGGGGTCACTTGTTTCCCGGGTGGCCCTCAGGTCATGGAAGGTCCACTGGGAGCCGAGGATGCTGTTCTTGCAGTAAAGGTCTCAGCTTCTGCTATGCCAGTCAATCGGGGTGAAGGAAGTGACTTTTCTTCAGGTAAGACTGAGAGCAGACAGGACAGGTGCCAGGCAAGGAAGGAAGCCTCTTGCCTGCACTCTGTGAGTGCTGGTTAAAGCATCGACAATGCGTTTCCAATGCAGAGCACTGGGAACCAGGGCAGCAGCTGCAGAATCAGCTCCAGGGATGATGATGGGGTCAAGTCAGTGCCTCCTCAGGGCTGTTTCCAAGCAGGTGCCCATTTAGGGCAGGGTTTGGATTGACTTTAAAAAAATCCAGTCTTCTGGGAGAACAGTAAGGAAATACAGTGTATTCTAAGAGAAGAGGAGGCAGTCATGAAGATCCTAAGAGAGGTGATATGTGAGTGTTGATTTGCTGGTGTTTGATAGGGGTGGCATGGTGAATCAGCGCTCATCTTAATCGCCCATATTGATGGATGAGCAAGGGTGAACAGCAGTGAGAGTCTGCACTCTCTACTTACCTAGGAAAACAGCACAGCTACTGAGCTTGTGCCTGCAGTGCTTCAGTAGTGTCTGCAGTCTGGGGCCATGCTGATTTGCTAATCCTTGATCTCAGCTGGGTGTGATTGCCACCGTGGTCCCTGGCTCATGAGGGGCAGGCACACCACTAATTGGCAGGTGCTGGCCTGCTTTGTAGGGGGCTGGGTGGGGAGCCAGGATGCTCTGCAGTGGAGGCCTGAATGGATGACTCTCTGCACCTGGGGGCTGGGTGGGGAGCCAGGGTGCTCTGCAGTGGAGGCCTGAATGGATGACTCTCTGCACCTGGGGGCTGGGTGGGGAGCCAGAGTGCTCTGCAGTGGAGGGATCTGCATTGATGACTCCCTGGACTTCCTTGCCAGAAAAAAATCTTTATTTTATATTTTGCTGTTTTAAATGTAACGTGCATTTTTCATCACTTGCTATTAAAACTATATTTTTAAAGATTTGAAGCTATAAACACCAAACTTACAAGTACCTGGGGCGTACGGCGAATCACAGTTCTGCCCTCTGAGCCAGTGGTTGCAACCTTTGGCCCCATGGGGGAAGAATCTGGGGTGCTGCTTGCTGAGAGCTCCCAGCCAAGACCTCCCCCGGAGGTGCCTTTGGTTGACAGGTGCTGCTTCACCTAAGTGGCCCTTCCCAGGAGCGGCTCGGAGGACACACAGGCTCGGCTCTCAACCCTCAATTCAGGATGTGCCTACAGGGCCGTCCTGGCATGGGATTCCACATGGGGTTGCCGAAGCCTCTTGCCTTTGCACCCTGGCTTACCTTCCTCTCTTTCAATGCTGCTTCCCTGAATCCTTCCAGGTGTTACTCCTGACAGCACTCCCCACTACACCACCTGCACACACATCTGTCTTGGATCTGCTTCCAAGAACCCGCATCTGCTCCACCATCCCACCTGCCGACACTATTTTCAAGTGGGCTTAGACGTGCAGATACGAAGGAGATGAAGTAAGAGCTGCTCCGGCCCTCGGATGATGCAGACTCCACGAGCTCGTGCTTCCCGTGGCTCCTAGGGGAGCCCAGACCACCCTGTGCACCAGCAGTGAGGGCTCAGTGCTGGGAGCTGCGCTCTGGAGCCTTTGCTCCTCTGCAGTGTCACGAGTCCCTGTGGCGGGTGGTGGCCGCCTCTTCCTGCAGCAATTCTCTCCCACCTCCTTTCCTCCACCTCAGAGAGATAGCGGGTGTGAAATGGCCCAGAACCGAGGTCCCTGCACTGCTGCAGGCACAGAGGACGGGTAGGATTGTGTGGGAGAGCCCTGGGGGTAAGCCTTTCGCCTACGTCCCTCCTGCCGCCAGCCAGTGCCGGGAGCTTAGTTTTCTTATCTGTAAAATTAGGTCTCATTAGGTTGTGAAAATTAGAGACGATGTATATAAGGTTCCAGTGCAGTGTCCAGCACATAATGAGATTGGATGAATGCTAACTTCTTTTTAGTGTTATCGTGATTATTGTGATTATTATTATCATCACATGTAGACCTTTGACCAGAAATTAGAGAGGACTCAAAAAGAAAGAGAAAGCTACGGAACCACACAAATGCAGTAGAAGCACGTTCTGTGCTGCAGAATTTATTAGAGGCGAGCAAAGCCTCTTTAGTAATTGATAGAGACGTGGTACTTAATGTGAACTTTGAGTAATTGCAGATGGAGAGGCCAAGAATTTTATGCAGATAGCAACAAGGTCCCTGACACAGGGAAGCAATATCCCTGCACAGACCAGCTTAAGACAAGATTAGTGTGGAGCACAGGAGGATCAAGAGGATCTGCACGGGGTGAGATAAGGAATCTGGACAGACCAGAAAAGAGGCGATTCCCCAGACACCCAGTGAGAAGGTGAGGATGAGGCTGGCGGCTGAAATCTGAGCCTCACAGAGTGGCATTTATAGTTGTCGGTGTATTATTATGCTTGAGTCAACCGGAATGGAAAATATGCATGATTTTTATCACATGGAGTTTGGGTTTTTTGTGGAAAACTCTAGAAAGGGATTTGAACCTCACTTGACTCATTGCAAATGAGGTTTCATGCCCAGAGGAGGACAAACCAAATTCTGCCTTCTCCTGCTTATTCCACCTGCGTGTCCTGGGTGCCCATCCTTTTCACCTGCCTCTCGCCCTGCAGAGGGATGAGCTCTGTGGAGCACCTTCTCTTCCCTCCAGGAGCACCTGCCTCACCTTCTTCCTTACCACTCGCCTCCATCATAACCGTGCTCTCTTCATTCCTTCTTCATCTGTCCCATTTCTAAGTGAAAAATGTTCTTACTGTGGCTAGAAAGCAAAAGATGGCAGGATCATCATGTGTTGAGGAAAAGGGAAACCACAAATTTGGTTGTGATTTTACTTCAAAATGTTCGTAGATTCAACAAACACTTTGGTACCTGTGAGAGTGTATAACTCCTTATGAAAAGCACAGGCTGGCTTCACTCACGTATGTGAGTGCATGGCTCAGCCAACGGAACCTAGCAGTCCATCAAATATGTTGGAGAGCCCGTCCCAGGTGGGCTGATTTGAAGCTGGTGCAACAGTAGAAAATCTCTTCATGTCATTTGCCATCTTTACAGATCAGTGGAGAAGAGCTGTATGATCTGCTCAAAAGAAAGAAATGTGTTTGATAAAATTCAGTATGTATCCTTGATAAAAATCTTAAAATAAGAATGGAAGGAAATTTTTAAAGTCGACAAATCTCTAAGTAACAACAGCAGAAAACCATAAAAACCAAAGTTACCAAAAAAAATCACAACAAATTTCACTGTCAATAGTAAGACATATCCAAGTGAAGAATACTAACTACCACTACATCTGTTCAACATTAAATTAGCACAAAAGACAAGTAAATGTGAAAGGTATGAGTATTAAAAAGAAAACATACAAAGCTGTCATTATTTAGATGACTAGATTATATAAAGAGTACACCCACAAATACTTTAAAACATTTAGGATACATAAGACATGCTTAAATATTGAGTAATATGTACCAGTATTTTTTTTAATTGCATTTCTGCCTACCAGCAACATTTAGAGAATTTAATCTATAAGAAGACATAGTTGAACTCTACTTCTGGTTAAGACGGAGTAGCAGGGACTGAATTTAGCCTGAACCAACTAAAAAAAATCACACAAATTATATTAAATAACAGTTTTCAGGGCCGGGTACAGTGGCTTATGCCTGTAATCCCAGCACTTTGGGAGACCAAGGCAGCCAGATCACCTGAGATCAGGAGTTCAAGACCAGCTTGGCCAATATGGTTAAAGCCCCTCTCTACTAAAAATACAAAAATTAGCTGGGCGTGATGGTACACACCTATAATCCCAGCTACTCAGGAGGCTGAGGCAGGAGAATCACTTGAATCCAAGAGGCGGAGGTTGCAGTGAGCTGAGATTGTGCCACTGCACTCCAGCCTGGGCAATAGAGCGAGACTCGGTCTCAAAAGAAAAAACAATAAAAGAACAGTTTTCAAAACAATGGGCTTAACCACTGCATTAAGCTTTACAACTGTATCATTAAGCTATTTAGACTTGATTATAAGTTTTACTGTTTATTTAATATCACTTTTTCTATATTTTATGTTAAGTTCTTTATTCTAACTCATTTTTCAGTTGTATGGAGTGTCTTCTTGAGTAATTCTTTCAGAAAAGTTTATTTTTTCTGAGTCCTTGCACTTCCAAATACTCCTTTTATTTGCCCTTACAGTTGAACAATAATTAAATATTCATATAATTCATAATAATTTAACCTTAAAACTCTGTAAAGTTGGCTTTATTACTATGTTTCATTTAGTGTTGCAGTTGAGAATTAAATACCAGACCAAATATCTTTCTTTTGTAGATAATTATTAAATTTATAAAATTTTCTTCTTTTTATTTCAGTTTTATGCTTTTTTTTTTTTCCTTTATCCTGGGAAATTAGCAGCTTAACCAGGAAATCTCAGGACGTGGCTCTTATCATTGTCATCCCACCCGACTCTCTGGGAGCCACTTTGTCTGAAAACCAAATTTCTTTCCAGAGCCCAGCTTGGGGTCCCCGTGGTGAGGCTGGGGGCAAGAGGGGCTGCAGGCAGGCCTTCTCCCCACACCTGCCTCAAAGTGTGGGTGGATTTGGGCTTTGGGTGCTGGGTGTGGTGGGGTTTGGTTTCTCACCCACCCCAGGCCCGGGAGCTGTGTCAATGTGTCTGTCTAGGTCTCTCCTTCCTGAGTCCTCTCCCCAAAAATCCACCAGGCAACACACACGTGGTGGGACCTGGTGAGAAAGAACCAGTTTTGATTTTTTGATTTGGCCACCACAGTGACATTTGGGAGATGAGGATGGGCCATTTACATACATCATGAATGGGAATGCCTGTATTGTTCATGTAACTCGCAGGGAAAATGTCAGAAAATTCATCCAAATCTACATTGTACACTTGATGAGGCAGCCGATTGGCTGAGAGGCTTGGGAAAATCAGCCGGGTCTACCCAGAGCTTACGTGAGTCTACAAAATCAGCCCTTTAGGAACTTGCGGGTCATCTGTAGCAATTAGGGCGGCTGTCCCCAGGGCCTGGTGTGGGTGCGGGGCATATCCTCCTCTATTAAGTACCTCTTGCTTCCTGACAGGTAGCTCAGATTGCGGGCACATGGCTGTGGGGCACCCTAATTCCTGAGGGTCCCCCCAACATGGGCTGGCAAGGCGGGGATTGCAAAAGTCTCCAGTTACCAGCACCCTGAACATGCACCCTTTGATTAAATCACCCCACACCAAATAACACCAACCTCTGTGTTGAATTTTTTGAAAATAAACTTAATTTTTATTTATAGAAAGAGAGAGATAATTCTTTCAGAATTTCTCTAATCTCTCACTTGTACGAGCCCCAACTCTTTCTCCTGAACACTCCCAGATTTCAAAAGTAATTTGAATTCCCTTAATCAGTCAGCTAACTCCTTCTGTTTTATTCCTTATGATTAGGGTAAAATAATATATTTAGCATGAGATGATCAGGGAAACTACTGTATTTGTTCTTTGGACTAAGCAAAAGCATCTCCCCCTGTATTGACACATTTATGAGAAAGAAAATGGCTCATTTATGGGACAAAGCTTCCACCAGATCTTTCAGAAGATCTCAAAGTACAGAGGCCCATGCATTCTCTCAGAAAACTCTATTAAGTACATTATAAAGCAATTTTTGATTTTCAACACAATTTTGCTACTGGCTAAACAGCCTGAACCCTATAATTTTTCCGCAGAGGGCGCCCTGTGCTGTTGAGATGACCATCCATTGGTTTGTTTCCAGGCACGGACTGGAGAGAGTTTCCCAAAACAATTTCAATCTTACGGCAGAGGCACCTTTCTCCTTTGCTTTTGAGCAGAGGGTTGTAGGCTGGAGGAGCTGGAATGTCACTTGAGCTCCGGAAACACCGTGTTTCCAGGAAGCAGAGGAAGCGCTGGGATCGCGCATCACAGATGTTCTGCTCCAGGAAGCTCCCAATTTCCCTCGCAGGGAACCTGGAGATGAAAGCCGGTGTTCCAGGGGGCCCTTCCTTCCTGGAGCAGGTGGGCTGTGGACTGGCCCTGGGCGGTGGGTGGGGATGGGTGAGTATGTGGGTCCCGTGGATGGGAACAGGTCATTTGTGGTAGTCCAGCCCGCTAATTCCAGGGCCCCTCGGCGTTTTGGCCTCACCTGTGGGCACCTGAGTCCTCTATGGGCACGGGGCTTGTGCTGGGGTGACTTTTCCAGGGTTGGGTGACGGAGACTCAAGGGTGATCAGACGGAGCTGATCCATCCTCCCCCGCCTCTGAGCAGTGGGGACAGCTGCCATTTTCCTTCATGATGGAATACCTGTGCCTGTGCGTGGCACTCCGTTCTTTGATCTACTAACATGTGGAAGCACATACGTGGGTTGGTCCTGAGCCTGGAGCCAGAATAAGAGGAGGCTGTGGTCTACACCTCTGACCACAGTCTACACCATGCTGGACGAGAGGTGCCCATTCCTAAATATCACAGACCATTGGTTCAAGGCCACACGCCCTGCGGTCACCACCACAGCTCTCGGAGCTGGGCCTCTTCCAGAACTCTGGGCTCACAGAGCTGTCACCTGTGTTCTCTGTGCTTGACGGCTGGTAGGCATCTCACTTAATTTGTCCAAAACAGGACCCTTTACTTCCCATCTGTCCATCTGTCCCTGAAACAATCCTCTGCCCCAGCCGTCCTCGCCTCTGCAAATGGCTCCATCGTCATTCTAACTGTTCACGTCCCAAATCTAGAAGTCACCTATGGCAGCGTTCTTTCTTTCTTTCTCCACCACGTTTCACCCACCAACACATTCAGTCAACTCTAGATTCAAGCTGCACCCCAAGCAAGCCCAACGCTCCCCATCTCCCCACCAGTCCCACAGCCCGAGCCTTTGACACTCACTCAGAGTTGGCCTAGGGCTGACCTGCCTCCACCCTTGTGCAAGTGCCACTTGTCTGCCACATCAGAACTGTCTCTGTTTTTTTTTTTTTTTTTTGAGATGGAGTTTTGTTCTTGTTGCCCAGGCTGGAGTACGGTGGCACGATCTCAGCTCACTGTAATCTCCGCCTCCCAGGTTCAAGCGATTCTCCTGCCTCAGCCTCCCGAGTAGCTGGGATTACATGCGGCCACCACCACACCCGGCTAATTTTTATTTTTATTTTTTTTTATTTTTAGTAGAGACGGGGTTTCATCATGTTGGCCAGGCTGGTCTTGAACTCCTGACTTCAGGCAATTCGCCTGCCTTGGCCTCTCAAAGTGTTGGGATTACAGGCGTGAGCCACTGCACCCGGCCAGAACCGTCTCTTAAATATGTGAATCTTATCATCTGACTCCCCAGCTTAAAACCATTCCGTGCTTCCTGTCTCTCTTGGGCTGAGACCCCACTCTTGGTGCGAGCTGCTGTGGCGCTCCCACCCGCCCTTCAGCCTGCAAGCTGCAGCCACACCACCGGCCGCGGGTTCCTTTAGCATTCAGCGCCTCCCCTCCGGGGCTGGCCCTGGCTGGAATGCTCTCAGCTTGAACGTGGTGTTCTCAGGGCACCTGATCTTAAGTAGTCAAGCCAGTACTTTATCCTTCCCCCTTACAACTCTCTGCCAAGTTTTAGCCGTTTTTCTCTTTTTCAGTCTTTATCATCAGAGCCTACACTCTGAGCACAGCCACGGGAGACCCCAGGAGGAACTGGCCCGATGAATTCTCCACGCCCCAGTGCCTGAGCCGGTGCCCTGCCCTGGGCCGATCTCCCTCTGTGGGGTGGAGATGGGATGGGTGTGCGTGCATCCCTCAGGCTGGAGGGGCCTTTAGGACGCTCAGAACTGCAGCAGCTTCTTACCCACAGGACCGGGGTGCTGTGGAAATGCCCTCTGGGACTTCTCACAAAATTTCATTCATTGTGTGTGTTTTTCTCTCCCGTCACCTATTTTCAAAAACAAAAAAGCAAATAAACAAAAATTACCAGGATAAGCGTCACTCTCTGGCATCCTTTGCTGTGCTTGGCTGCAGTGGGAGGTCGCCTGGCTGGAGCTGAGCGTGTGCTGGGTCTGCGTTTTCACGGCGTCGGTGTGCAGGCGTGCAGCCTGACCCGACCAGGGCTCCACGGTGCCAGGGTTGCAGAGTCAGACTGTGCGCCCGGCCGTCCTGCCAGCTTCAGCCAGGCCAGTTCTCAGGACGCCTTCACTCTCCCTCATGGGGCCAGTTATATATGATCTGAGTCCAGGGCGTCTCACGTGGCCTGTGGTCGGTTTTGGTATCTACCAAGTGAGTTTAGCTTGAGTCTTCCCAATACTTTCTTTACCTTGGCATGTTTAGAAAGAGACTGTCCAGTTAGAGAAGAACTCCAAGGGACCCAATCACATTCAAAACCCCGACATGGGCTGTGTGTGCCTGAAGGACCTGTCCTGTCCTGTTCAGGAAAGGGCAGTGGACCTGAAGAAAGATCTTGAGACGCTGTTGGTTCCAGAGCTGTAAGAAAGGACAATCCCACCAGCTAGCCATTTCTTTTCCTTTAGACTCTGCCTTACTGAGACCAGGGACGGGGGTTGGCTCTGCCGATGCTGCAACCACAGGCGCGAGGATTCCGTTCACCCACCAGGAACACCTGAGGCGCAGCTACAACATGGTTTACGGGGGCAACTTGCACTTGGGAAAGAAGTGGAGCACATACCAGGCTGCAGACGCCTGTCAGTCTCCGCAGGAAAGGGACATCAGGGTTCTGCCCCACAGCTGTGCTTCTGCCAAGGGGGCAACGGCTGGAGCATGCCCACCACAAGAAGTCCTGCCTTGGCTGCCGTACATGCTTACAGATGACTCTAAGAGGGGCTAGGGACCTCCAGTGTCTGAGGAGCAAGAAACATATCAGGATCTTCATGCCAGGAGCACAGGGGCCCTGAGAGGGGCCCTGCCTGCCAGGAACGAGGCCATCAGGCACCGATCTCGCTGTTCTCAATGTCTGGGTGGGAGCACCGTGCCGGGCAGTCACAACCCGGGGTCAGCAACAGGGGGCTGCAGGACTCACGACGGGAGGCCGGCCTCGAATTGGGCAATGAGGGGGCCAGTGGGGACCAGGGACGTGTTGTCGACAAAAGTTCTGGCGGTCAGTACCGAACACGGCTGGCCTGCAGATCTGACTGTATATGGTAAAGCGACTGTGAACCAATGGGGTAATCGACTTTCTAAATGCCGTTTTCTGTGAGAAACATGAACGGGCACTTCACACCTTGTCTTATAGTATTTTCACCTTTTAAACTGTAACTCACAATAAGAAAAGCATTTTTCAGCAGCATCCAGGACCACGCACCCACAGCCCAAACGAAAGTTTTCTAAATCAAAACTTCACATGTGATGCACATCAACAGTTTCAACTTTATCCTAATCCTTTCTATTGCATTTTAAAATTATTTTCAATATTTTTAAAATGAGTTTTTCCTTAAATTCTGCTTGCAACTCACTGACTGGGTCTGCTCTGCAAAGTGTGGAGAGCGTGGGTCCGTTGCAGTGCCTGTCACTGGAATGAGAGCCCGGGTGGACCTGGGTCCGTTGCAGTGCCTGTCACTGGAATGAGAGCCCGGGCGGACCTGGGTCCGTCGCAGTGCCTGTCCCTGGAATGAGAGCCCGGGCGGACCTGGGTCCGTAGCAGTGCCTGTCCCTGGAATGAGAGCCCGGGCTGATGCCCAGCTTGCCAGGCTCCACTTGAGTTAACAGCAAAGTCAGACCCGAAATCCTGGGCTCCTTAATGCCCGGTCTAGTCTCTGTCCACTCTGTGGGTGAGAGTAGCTAACTCACTTCTCTGCGTTGGCTTGCAGAGAGAAAGCAGACGCTCACTTGATGTTCCATGGTGGCAGGGGCCACGGTAAGGCTTGCACCCGCACGTGCTCCACCGCTCGCCCACGCCCCGCCTCCAGCTTGCTGAGTGCACCGACGATGCTAGAGTGTGAAATTCCAAATGCTCTCAGTGTATGCAGGTTTGCAGATCCTGACGCACTGATTGCTTTTTTTCTCCAACGTTGTGGTAGCTCCTTGGGAGCAGTAATGAAGAATGGAAGCTTTCTGGAAAGTGTTCACTGGGTGCCTATTAGACCTGACACAAAGCTGTGCTTGCTGTGGTTTTGTGTGCAGAGGTCTATAATTTGGGTTTATACTGTATTTTTGCAATATATAGACATTAGCATGCAGAAACTTGGCACCTGAGACCATGTGTCAGGGCGCATGGAGAAGATGCTTCCGACCTCAGGCAGGCAGTGTGGGCCTCTAGTAAGATGCACAGGGCAGCAGCATTCACATTATGAAGCTGTCAGGGGACAGCGCATTTAGTACTCACAGCTTAGCACTGAAATCAGAATCCCACACCCCAGGGTGTGCCATGGAGGATCCTGGAGCTGGTGCAGACGGGGCCATGCAGCGCCTTTCCTACGTAAGTGGGAGGCGAGATCCCTGTTCCACAGGGAAAAGGCACAGTCCACACAGCCCAGTCTGTCTGTAGTCTAACTTTTGAAGAAAGTGCTTTTCGCCAGGCATCGGCGTATGATTACCTAAATGCGTAAGATGGGACGTACGTTTCACTCCCCGTGCAGGCTGGCACGTGTCACCAAAACCGAGAGCTATGTGGGCTGAAGCTCTGGAGCCATCGCATGGGCACAGGAGATAACATCACGGGCCCCCAAATGCTGCCAGGTGGAGAGGGTTGCACTAGGCGGCTGGCCGAGGGGGCCAGGAAATGGAGGCTGCAGCCCTGTCCCCCAGCGTGGCCTTGGTGGGCTGTGTGTGGGCTGGTGAAGGAGTCAGGGTGAGGGTCGGGAGTAATGATATGTTCTATTTTTGTGGCCCAGTGTGTGCCAGGCACATGGCTGGGGACCTCCCGTGTGAGCACTGATCATCCGCATCATGTAGATGGGGGAAGCAGGTCAAGCACCAGGCTAAGCCTGCCCAGCGCTGGTGGGAAGTGGCTCGGCTGGGAAAAGAAAGCAGAAAGTGGGACTCCTGAGGGACTGGGGAAGCCTCGGGTGCCCCTTCTGTTAGGAGCAGAATGCAACTGAGGGCCGAGCACACAAGTGCACATGCATGTGTGCGTGCACGTATGTGCAGGCCCTGCATCTGTGTGTGTATATGTGTACGTGTGTAGGTGTGCTCTTGTGTATGCACTGAGCTGACAAGCACGTGCCTGTGAGTATGAGTGTCCAGCTATGTGTGTGCCTGTGTGTGTGGGTGTGGGCTGCATGCAGGCGTACGAGTGTTCATAACTATTAAAAAGTCTCTGACTACAGGGACCTCACGTAAGAATCTCAGGCTCAATGTCCTCAGGTTTAATGAGAGGAAGTTGAAATAAGTCATCTCCAGGGTAAATTTCCAGCTTAAAAAGTTCTGTGAGCCGTGCCTGTCCAGAGCCCCATGCCCCTGGGTCCATGCCTTGCTCTGCTCTGTGTTGCTTGGGCGTGCAGAGGAGCTGACCCTTAGGGGCTGGTTTCCAGGTGCCTGACCTTCTGCCTTCTGCCTGGAGGGAGCCTGGGGAGGGAGGAACGAGAAGCCAGGTTCCTCTGCACGCTGGGCAGCGTTTTGAGCGGGGCTGCATCTCCTCTGCTGTCCAGATCCCACGCTGGTCCCACTGCCCCAAATCCAGTCCTGACCGAGCTGCCTGCCGACTCCCCAGCCTCCTGCAACTACCTGAGATGCTCTCTGCGTTAAGGACTTGAAGTGGTTCTGCCTTCCTGCAGGACCATGACAGGACACGACCTTTCATCTGTTGCTCCCTTCACTCACAAGTATCATTCAAGCAAACCCTCCTACGAGCAGACACACATTCACCGATCAGTGGCCATCCTCGTGTGAGCACGCGCTCTGGTGCAGACACGCTAAGGGCACGACCAGTGCCTCTGACATCACTATTTTGTGCTGGCTCATGTTTGGGAGCAGCAGACCCTCGGATGGAGGTGGGCGATGCATGCGTCCCCTGGGTGTTGCTGATACGACATCGCCAATAGAGGGCACGAGGATGACGTAAGGACAGCCTTCGCGGCTGGGTCAGGCACTGCTGTGGGCCAGGCACTTTGCATGCATGAGCTCAGTTAATCCCCACAACTCTCTAAGGCAGGCATTCCTGTACCACCAGCTCACAGGTCAAGTAACTGAGTTTCAGCGGGGTGAGTGCAGCGCCCTGAGGTCACACAAGGTAGGATGCAGAACCGGCGAGGCCGGTGACATTCACGGGGCCTCTTGTGGGGGAGCCATGCCCGGACTCCCCAGCACGTTTTCACATCACTTCAGTATAGCCCGCATTGCAGCATAGTGTGATGTTACACGGTACACGTGAGTGGTGTACACATGTGTGGTGTACGTGTGCGTGTGGTGTACACTTGTGTCTCCCACACAGAACAATGAGCTCTGGAGGTGCTGAAGCCATACCCGAAAGCCAAGTGTTGACGTGGAGCTGTCACTAAATAGGTGCTCAGTAAGTGCCAACTGAATGGCTAAATGAATACATCAACGGACGTTTGGCTTGAGTGTGCGTTGTTCACAGATTTCCAAATATAAGTCATTATTCATTTACCCTGGCTGGCCTGACAGATGTGTGCCACCATCCCCATTGTGCAATAAAGAAACAAACACCGCAAAAGTATGATCCACACAGGGGCTGGCAGACGTGTCCCCACAAAACTGCCATGAGTCTGGGAGCTGCTGCGGCTAGGCCTGGTGTTCAGACCCCTGGTTCCGCCAGCATCCTTCTCCACCAGCAGCCCCTGCGGTAATCAGCGCGATTAGGCAGGAACAAAGGGTCCCATTATGGAGGATTGACATTTTGGGAACATGGACCAAAGCAACAAAAAGTAATATTTCCTAAAACGAGCATTAGCTGCCCCTGACAGTCAGCCCAGTGGAACAGTCCAACCGGCAGTTGTCGGCGGCGCGCTGGCCCCCGGGATGGAAGATTACAGGGTTAGGGATGCCCAGCCAATCAAGGCCCCCGATTGGCTGAGCAGCCTTAAGTGCTTTCTAATTGTGCTTCAGAGGACTGCGGTTTAATGCCAGCCAGGGTTCACTGTTTTAAACTGTGTCACGCGACTTAAAAGGCCTGCTTTACGTCCTCCTCTTCAACGCTTGCATTATGTAAATTGTTAAGACTGTTATCCTGGGAGTTTGCCTTAGTTGCTGGCTGTTTTAAAATTCCATTTTTCACAAAAAGAAAAAAAAAAGGAGGGGAAGGGAGAAAGAAATGAAAAAGCACTCCTCCTCTCCTACAACAAGCTGGCAACCCCCGGGTTTGTGGAAAGACAGAAGCATGATGGGCGTGCTCGAGAGTGCTCCGCATGGCACATCATGCTGCTCCTGGCGGAGCCCCTGTCCCTGGCCAGAGAGGGCAGGCCAGTGACCGCCCCGGTGAAGGGCTTGCTCTTGCCTGGTATTTGCATTGGCCCTCGAAAAATCAATATTTGTGGTTGCACTGAAGCCTTAGTGCCCATTCTAGCCTTTTTCTCTAGAGGGGAGATTTGTAGCCAAGTAATTAAGAAACCTGGAACAACCAGCCTTCTATGAAGGCAGAGGGGGCAGCCTCCCTTATTAAGGCCCAGCTCACACCCTCCAGGTGTCCAGATGCAGGCCCAGCTCAGTGCCCTGGGGACTGGGTGGCTGCCCAGCCTGCTGGCTCTGTGTCCAGGCTCCGTTCTGGTGGCTTGTGGGGCCACGTGCTGATCTGGCAGTCCTGACTGTCCCTGGGGGCCTCCTTCCTCCAATCTTCCTCAGTGAGTTCTGGAGAGGCCGATGCAGCCAGGTGGGAGGGACAGGGCCAGGCAGGGCCTTCCTGGGCAGCTCTGATTGGCCTGGCTACGGTCATGGGACCTCAGGGGCCACTAGAGGTCTTTGCAGCGTCCAGGGGGATCCTCTCTCTTCTCCTGGTGTCCTGGCTTTCTGTCCCTGAGGGTTGTGGGTTTTTCCCTTCTGGCTCTGAGCCGGCTCCTGAGCCTGGGCCAGCAGGGACTGTGGCCCAGGTGGGATCGGCCCCCTCTGCATGGCTCGCTCGCTGCAGGCCTTGGCGTGGGGAGGAGGTCGACGCTGAGGCGCGACGCTCCTTGGCATCACTTGCAAATTGAACTCACCTGTAGCTCCCAAACCACCTCTCCGGGTGCTGTTGGTATTTCCCTCTTTTGTTCTCCTTTGTATTTAGAATGCAAATTAGGAAGTTAGTTCCTTCTGACCCAGGCGAGGGTTGGGGGGGTGGGCAGAGCGGGGCTGTGGTGCTGGGGGTGGCAGCAGCCCTGACAGGGAGGACGTGCGTAGAGCCACACGGGAGCGGGAGGAACACTTGGGCTGCAGGTGACAGCAGCCCTACCCGATGGCTGAGGCATGTTGCCATCCAGGGACACGTTGGCACTGCTGCGTGGGTCCAGTGGCCAAGCCACGAGTGGACGGGAGAGACAGGGGTGAGACAGGCCTGTCCACCTGGCCCTGTGCCCCTGGTGCTGGGCGTGCTCGGGTAGAGCTTTCCCGGTGGGCAGCGTGGCCTGGCTGCAGGGCCCAGTGATCTCACCAGACGCTGGCTGCAGCTACACAAATGCCATGTAGACATGGCCGACACTGCAGTCATCTCACTTTAGGTGAGCAGGGGACCCTCTCTGGTGTGGATGGGCCTTGTCTGTCAGCTGAAGGCTTTAAGAGCAAAGTGGGGTCCCCAGCGAGGAAGGAATTCTGCCCCATGATGGGAGCACCAGCTCTTGCCTGAGTTTCCAGCCTCCTGCTGCGTGGAAACTGCCAGCCCAACACAATCGCGGGAGCCAATCTCTTTGAACAAACGAAACAACGAATCTCCTACTGGCCTGCTTCTCTGCTTCTCTGGAGAACCTGGCTGATGCTCGATGGAAGCTCTCATTTTCCCGTCTGTGGAGTGGTGATAGTTTTCCCCTCACGGGGTTGTTCAGTATTAGACGATGCTCCATACGCAAAGACCTTGGGGTCTGCGGTCAAAGGAGGGCTGGGGCATAAAATGTGTGGGGTCCCAATGACAGGAGCAAAGAGGGAGCCCGCATGGGCCTGGACACACACACTCCAGGCGCGTCTGGTCCTGTGGCCTCCTGCCGTCAGCTTTACAGTGACATCGTCATGCTCAACAACATCCAACGTGGCCACGTGAGCCACCCACGACAGCAGTGGCCACGCCTGGAGTCCACAGAACCACTAAGACCTGAGAATGGGCTCATGGAGCTTGAGAAACGCATGTGAATTACATAAGATTATAAGTAGTGCTGTATAATTTAAATACCTGCAATTGAATAATGCCCTCTAAGCACCTGTGAGCATTCTTATAAAAACGCATTGGAAAATACCACTCATCAGCCTTGATGTTAACTCTCACGCAATGAATTGCAAAATGTAAAAAAAAGGAAATTCAAAGACATGTTTTTTTTTTTAAATCGTCTTGAACAAGTACAAAAATATAAAACCAAAGAAAATAAAAATAAGGTATTATCTTTACAGTTGGCCACACGTTGATGTTTAGATGTTTTGATGTCTTTCAATGTGATTGATTGTGGGCCCAATGCTGAGTTGGCCCCACAGGGGATAAAGAGAAATAGGAGCTCTAAGCCTTGTTCTGCATAAACTTAAAATCATCAAAGGGAAATCATAATCACTCCCATGAAGGAAGCCGCAAAGAAGAGATGAGAGCACCTCCAGGGGGCTGACTGGAATGGGATGAGGGTTGCCAGGCAATGCTGGGTCTGAGCTGGCCCTGGAAAAGTGGGTGGGCCCAGACAAGAGGACATTGGGGATTCCAGAGTGGGGCGAGGGTGTGGGAGGAAGCTGAACGTGGCCCGGGGGTGCACTGAGGGGACTTGAGAGGAGGCGTTGAGGAACAGAGAAGTGAGAGCCGCCTGCCAGAGCCCAGCGGGGGGTGGGGGTGGGGGCCATAGGCTGGCCAGGGGGTTGTGTCCTCAGGTCCAGTTGGACGCAGGCCGGGGCTGTCTGTGTCCATGAGCCCAGGTCCATAGCCCTGTTCTCCAGCAGGCACAGCCAACATGCCACCTGTGGTCATCAGAAACACGGGACTATGGATAAAGGGAATCCCCAAATGTTCATTCTGAGCACGATTCCCAACTAATTTCCGTTTGGACCTACTATGAATACAGTGCAGACTTAGCTGATGAGTTTCACCTCCTTTCCCTTCCTCTTTCCACTGCCTTGTAGAATTCCTGTTCCATGAAACTGAAGAAATAAGAGGTGGCAGTTGGAGGAGGAAGAAACGTAAAAATTGAGTCTTGCTTCCCTTCCAAACTGTGAACTAAGTGCTCATAATCCTCATCCCGTGTCCAGCACGAGGCCCGGCTGTGTGATCCAGAGCTCACAGGTCCAGGGCACGCGAGGGCTGTGGACACAGGGAGGCTGCCTGGAGCCGGTGCAAACATAGGTCTTTGTTCCCCAAATGGGCGATGCAGGCTCTGTCCCCACCTTCTGCTTCTCCAGGCAGAACAGTCTTCCTGGGAAATGCCCGTGCCCAGTGACTGCATGGGTGTGTGCAGCAGTCTCCAGCCCTGCCCAGGGTTTGGGGCCTGTCTGCTCTGTGGTGACCCTTTCCCAAAGGCTCTGGGTCACGGTGGTCGTCGTGGCTGATGTAAGTCACCATCATACTCACGGATCTGTCGGCGTCACCGTCGTGGCTGATGTAAGTCACCATCATACTCATGGATCTGTTGGCGTCATCGCCGTGGCTGATGTTAAGTCACCATCATACTCATGGATCAGTCGTCGTCGTCGTCGTGGCTGATGTAAGTCACTATCATACTCATGGATCAGTCAGCGGCCTGGCAGAAGTCTGGACTCCCTCAAATGGTTTGCAAAGAGATTTTAGTGAAAAGATTCCTCCTGACGAGGGCGGGGGTCAGGGGTTGAGCCTATCAAGGATGCCACCTCTTTTACACGCCACTAAAAGGGAGAACATGTGGCAGACCCCAGGTCCAGCGCCTCCTTAGTGCTTAGATGTCCACTCTGCAGCCACAGTGAGCGTCTTGTGCTTCCTGAAGCATGGAGGGAAAGAGGCAGGAATGGTTCTGACCAGTGGCCTTGGCAATCACCGCACGGCTCCTGCCTCTGTCTGCAGTAACTCTGTGATGCCACAGGTTGCAGTGACTTAGTAAAGCTGGTGGAAGACGGCATTTTGAGGGCTATGTCTAAGGACCTTGGGGGACTGGAGGCCAGGCCTGGCTGTCCAGTGAGCACTGCTCCCGTTGTGGGGGATTGAGTTGTGAATCCCAGCTTGGCCCCTATCTGGCAGCGGTGCTGCTGTCAGGATGTGCCCCACTCCTGGGCTTGTGGAGGAGTCACCTGCATCGTCTACGTGACTGTGGGGAATGGCACCAGGCTCAGCGGATGCCTCCGTGGACAGCAGGGAACGGCACCAGGCTCAGTGGATGTCTCTGTGGACATGGCCATAATGACTGATTTTTAATCGATTTCTTCTTCTCTTTTGAATTACCAACTTATTCCATTTGTTCTTTTCCTTCTTTTTTGAAAATAAAAAACTTCTCTTACTCAATTTCGCTCTTGAGTGGTCTTACGTTAATTTCCAGAGAAGCGATTAATAGTCTTTAAGAAGGCCAGCAGAAATGCATCTTGGTGGCTGGAAGAGAAATAAATCTTCAGCCCCATCTAGTTGTGCTTCTTCCGCAGAATAAGGAAAGGTGGCAGACCCCAGTCCTGCAAGCCCAGCCCACGCCCGGTGGCCAGCAGGAGACTTCGGTGGGAGAGCTGCGTGCACTGGGTGGTCACTGGCACCCATGGGGTCGAGTTCTTCTCTGACTGAGCACTCCCCTGCGCTGTGACTTCAGCCACAGAGTGTCACTTCCTCGGCCTTCCATGTCAACATCACGGAGCAGGAAATTGCTTTATTATTATGCTAAGCTGCCACCTTGCTTGGATATGAGGAATGGTTAATGAAAATGATTGCACTGTAGCATGCAAAAGATAAAGTGCTAAAAAATGCCGTGATAGTTAACAGCCTACATAATTTGTGCTGTTATTAGGGACAATTTGTGACTTTAAAAGTCTAGTGGGTCCAAATGTCACATGAGGAAAACATTAGTTAAAACATCCAGGAGTAATGAATGATTTAGAGAAAGAAGAAATCCAAATGAGATTTAAACATTTCTGTTTTAATTCCGTTATTTTAAAACATTCATGGTTCTCACCTTGCTCTGAGTGCACAACTTCTGTACCCAGTGGGTGCCTGCCCTGCTCCTTCTCCACAGAAGTAGGAGTCCAGCAACAGGGTATCATGCTTTTCACTCCAGCCCTCCACCCAGACCCCGGTTGCCTTTCTGCGCAAAATGGTACTTGAAAACGTTGTTGGGAGGAGTCCCAGAAGAGAAGATGGTCTCATCTGGAAGTTTAAGACTCAGAAACAAACATTAGGTAGAAGATGAAGGAATATTATCTGAGAACCGTTTATGACATCTTCACGATTTCAACAGAAATGTCAACCGGTGGATTGCAAGGAAGTGCCACGTTACTTCAATGTCTCTAAATTTAAAAGATGGAGGAGGGGGAATCGATGGATGGCTTGACCCCTCCTTCATTAATTCACTGGTTGACTTCACAATGAGCACTTAAATATAAGCCAGGCCCTCAGGATTCAAAGACAAAGAAGACTCATTTCTAATCTTTTGGGGTGATGTTAGCAATGCAATAATTTTTTTCATAGTGCTCCAGGCAAAAAAAGATACTGAACAGTCTGTTTATTAAGTAGTTAGGTCCAAACAATAAGCATACATGAAACTGAAAGACTAAGCCATACTTTGATTTTACTTTCAAATGACCACAGTCACTTAATAGGTGTGTGTCTCCTGGGCACTGACCGGCCTCTTGGGACCTGGGATCAAACCTGGCACTGCCACATTCCTTTCCTGTGCAACCCTGACTTTTGTACAGTACTTGCTTCTTATCACAGCAATTGCTGAAAGGCCAGCTTTGCAAAACTGTCAGCATTGGGAGGAAGGGAGTCCAATCTGATATCGACAACTGTGAGTACCTCAAGCTGATGCTCAGCCTGTGGCAGAGCAGAGGTAGGCCCGTCTGCGCTTCTCCTGAGCCAGGGAACACCCTGGGCACCCCACACACACTCCACGACTCTCAACTCTAGGCTACACGGCTCAACATGTGGCTTTCAGATGGGTTGGGACCCGAATTGTTGGTCACTCCACAGCAAGTGCAGAAATTGAGAGAAAGCTTAGACAGCTTTTCAGGGATTTGTCATATTACATTTATTTTGATTAGAACTTGTATTTTCTGTTTTTCATTTTTCTAGTAATTTATTTTTATTTCATCTTACAATGTAGGGTCGTCAATGGATTGAAGTTAGAAAACAAACTGGCACTTCCCCAGAGATCACTAGAGAAGCATTGTTCTAGGGGGTTCAGTAAAAACAAAAATAAAAAACAATCCAAAACCAAAAAATCTAATGTAACAATAGATGCTTACCTCAAATCTGAAATTAAAAACTATGTAATATTATTTAATTACCACAACTAAACTCAGCAATTTTAAATACTTTAAATGCCCAATTAACAAGAAACTGCTAATTAGTTTTTACAGTTATAGGATATTTATGTACTCATTATTGTCTTTTGCAAATATAATCAAAATATTTTTGTTCCATAAAATAAAACATGAGTTTTATTGGACAAGATAATTTAAGTTGGTGCTAATCTGCTTTGTAATATCTAATTAGAAAAGTTTCCTTCTCCCTCCCTCCTTCTTCCTCCTTCCCTCCATCCCTCTGTTTTTACTTCCTTTCCTCCCTCTCCCTTTTTCTTCTTTCCTTCTGTACTTCCTTCCTTCCCTCTTTCCCTTCCTCTTTGTTTCTTTCCTTCCTTCCCTTCCTTCCTCCCTCCTTTCCTCCCTCCCTCCTTTCCTCTCTCTCCTAGTCATAGAAACATTGTGGACAGAACCTCAGTCGTGTCCTTGAGAACACTGAAATTCTGTAGTACTTTTTGATGCTAAAGGTCTTTCCTTTGGACCCATCTTTAAAAGTCACTTGAATAAGAGATCACTATAATAATTAGTAAGTGATTTTTGTTTGGAACATGGGGAGTGGGCTCTTTTAAATGAGATTTGAAGTGTGTCAAAAGAGAAAGAAAACAGAAATTCTGTCTGGATGCTGTAGAACAATTCTTCCTCACTACTTTTGAACAATTCTTCCTCACTACTTTTGAACAATTCTTCCTCACTACTTTTGCTAATTGGAACATCACAGCTAGAGATACTATTATATGTTAGAAACGGTCACAGCATTTAGAGCTCTCTTTTGCCAAAAGGAATTACACAGAAAGTGTAATTAATTTATCCTCCAGGGTTTTCTGTGACTCATCTCTAATCTTGTCTGGTGTTATCTGGCGACGTGCGGTGGGGCAGAGCGATGCTGAGTAAATACCGCAAGCATCGCGCTGTCGAGTGGTTCTCCTGTGAGATCAGATGCGCCTGGATTGTCACAAAGCCATTTTCTGAAAGTTAAGAGTGTGCTGGGGCCGGGGGTGGTAATCAAGGAGCACGCAGGGAATCTTGTGGGTGAGGCCTGGGAGCCTGGGGCTGCTCTGGAGGGAGGTGCTGTTCCCTCGCGCCCCGAGTGCACCTGCAGAGGCACGGACGGTGTGTGCCCGCTTCTCGGCTGCCTACTTCGTTTCTGGGCTGGTTCGCTGAGTTTGATGTTAAAAGTAGGTTGGATAATTTTTGTAATGCCTAAGAACGGGCTCTGTCTTCTCTTCAACAGAGCGTTGCGATTTTCAATTTGGAAGTCTCCGGTTAGGAAAGGCTTTCCAGGATGAAGGACAGCACCGGGGCTCTCAGCAGCGGCTTGCGTGTTGATGGCGTGTGCACGGCCGAGGACGCCCTCGCCGTTTCTGAGCCTTTCAGTTCCAAGCACAGCCCAAATCATGTCCCAAATATTTGATCCATTTTTTAAAAAGAGAACCCAAGTACACGTCAGATAAAATTAAAGGCAGCTCTTCAGTACATCGACTTCATTTACATTCCGGTTTTGGTAAGTACTCCTTGATATTTAGAAAGCTTTTTATTACATTCTGGTTTTGGTAAGTACTCCTTGATATTTAGAAAGCTTTTTATCCCCATTTCATAAGCTTCTAAAAATCAGGGCATTGAATCTTGCTGTCAATAGGGAAAATTAAATGTGAAAGATCAGGTTCATTTAAAAACAGATTAAAACAATTAGATTCTAAAACTGGCACAATGCATTTTTATACTCAAGATAAACTTTTTTTTTCTTTTTTTAGATTTGAGAACCTGTATATGAGTGTTTTTCAAATAGCCAAAAAAAAAAAGTTTGTGCCACAGTGACTGTTTTGGAATTGTTTACACAGAGGAGGCAAGTTAATGTGCTCAAATTTCAATCCTAAGCACAATATTTTTAAAGTCAGACGTGATTAAAACTATCATATACAATTTTTCATACATTAAACATCAGAAAATTATTAATCCTCTAGTCCAAAACAGAATTATTGTCAATAAAGGTCATTATTATTTATGCAGAAATAATATAATGAACACACTGAGGTGTAACTTCACCATTAAAGAAAAAACTGTAAACATGTACAAGTAGTTTTATGAATAAGAACGGGGAAGAAAACTGCTAGGCCTCCTGCCCTTCTGAAGACAAGCAGGCTGGGGGGCTTCACCCATCATAGCCACCGCGTGGAGCGCCCACAGCTAGCCAGTTCCCACACAGGCCTCTTCGTCTGCCGTCCATTGGGGGCTGAGCCTTCAGGATGAAAGGTCCTGTTCCTTAGGAAGCAGACCTCAGAACCCATTCTCCCTGGCTCTTCAGCAACATTGTTGCCATGGTTTTGGTCTGTGTCCTCACCTGAAGCTCATGTTCAATTACAATTCTCAGTGTTGGAGGTGGGGACTGGGTGTGTGTCCGGAAGTGGTGGGTTCTTGGTCTCACTGACTTCAAGAATGAAGCCGTAAACACTCGTGGTGAGTGTTATAGTTTTTAAAGATGATGTGTCCAAAGCTTGTTCCTTCTGATGTTTGGACGTGTTCGTAGTTTCGTTCTTCTGGTTGGTTCGTGATCTTGCTGGCTTCAGCAGCGAAGCTACAGACCTTCACGATGAGTGTCACAGCTCTTAAGGTGGCGCGTCTGGAGTCGTTCATCCCTCCTGGTGGATTCGTGGTCTCGCTGGCCTCAGAAATGACGCTGCAGACCTTCTTGGTGAGTATTACAGCTTGTTAAGGTAGTGCAGACCCAAAGAATGATCAGCAGCAAGATTAATTTCAAAGAGCAAAACAACAAACCCACCACACTTCAGAAACGGAGGGAGCGGTTTGCCGTCGCTGGCTTGGTCAGCCTGCTTTTATTCCCTTATCTGGCCCCACCCACATCCTGCTGATAGGTCCATTTTACAGAGAGCTGATTGGTCCATTTTACAGAGAGCTGATTGGTCTGTTTTGACAGGGTGCTGATTGGCGTGTTTACAATCCCTGAGCTAGACACAGAGTGGTGATTGGTGCATTTACAATCCTCTAGCTGGACATAAAAGTTCTCCAAGTCCCCACTAGATTAGCTAGACATAGAGCACTGATTGGTGCGTTTACAAACCTTTAGCTAGACACAGAGTGCTGATGGGTTCGTTTACAATCCCTGAGGTAGACACAGAGTGCTGTTTGGTGCATTTACAATCCTCTAGCTAGACATAAAAGTTCTCCAAGTCCCCACCAGATTAGCTAGATACAGAGTGTTTATTGGTGCATCCATGAACCCTGAGCTAGACACAGAGTGCTGATTGGTGCATATACAAGCCTCTAGCTAGACATAAAAGTTCTGCAAGTCCCCACCCCCCTCAGGAGCCCAGCTGGCTTTGCCTGTGCCCCTGCACTTCTGAGCCCTTGGGTGGTCGATGGAACCCTGCGCCACCGGCACCACAGAGCAGGGGGCGGTGCCTATTGGGGAGGATCAGGCTGCATGGGAGCCCATGGGGGATGGGGGAGTGCTGGGGGGGGCACTGGGGGGGGGGCGCTAGGGGAGTGTTGTTGGGCATGGTGGGCTGCAGGTCCTGAGCCCTGCCCCGCGGGGAGGCGGCTGACGCTCGGTGAGAATTTGAGCACTGTGCAGGTGGGCTGGCAGTGCTGGGGGGTGACCCAGTGCACCCTCTGCAGCTGCTGGCCCAGGTGCTAAGCCTGTCACTGCCCTGGGCCGGTGGCACTGGCCCATGCTCAGTGTGCAGGGCTGCTGAGCCCGCGCCCACACACCCACCAGGAACTCATGCTGCGGAGCAGCCCAGGTTCCCACCCACGCCTCTCCCTCCACACCTCCCGGCAAGCAGAGGGAGCCAGCTCCGGCCTCAGCCAGCCCAGAGAGGGGCTCCCACAGTGCAGCCACAGGCTGAAGGGTTCCTCAAGTGTGGCCATAGTGGACACCGAGGCCGAGGAGGTGCCGAGAGCGGAGGGAGGGCTGCTAGCACGTAGTCACCTCTCATTACAAAGTCATTTACAGTGTAGGCTCTGTGGAGAGGATATCTCCTGTCATAGCTGAAGTCTGAATTGACCTTAAGTTCCCTGCCTCCAAACCCTATTTTCCTGCCTCAGTGGGAGGGGATGAGGTCATGGGGGTGGTTTCCCTGGTTTAACACCATCCCCCTTGGTAGTGTCATCATGATAGTGAGCTCTCGTGAGATCTGTTTGTTTAAACTGTGTGGTACCTCCCTTTTCTCACTCTTGCTCCTGCTCTGGCCACGAGAGACACCCCTCCTGCTTCACCTTCTGCCATAATTGGAAGCTTCCTGAGACCTCCCCAGAAGCTGACACTGCCATGCTTCCTGTAAAGCCTGCAGAACCATGAGCCAATTAAACCTCTTTTCTTAGCAGTTACCCGGTCTCAGGTATTTCCTTATAGCAATGCGAGAATGAACTCATACATTTGTGAACAGTCTCTTGTTGACTTTGTCATTTCTCTTTTCGTGGGAGCTTATTCGGCTACTGTTTTAAATTGAACAGTTCAAGGCTCTGGTCCAGGAGGCTGTGGGGTTGTTCTTCCGGTCTAGGATTATTGAGGAGAAGGTATCATAGAATTTTAAATCCAGAGGGTGCCTTAGAGAGTATCCATCCCCTCCTTTGACAAATGAAGACACTAAAGCTCAATACATTAGGAAGTGACTCCCCAAACTACATTAATTGAATAATCTGTGTGCATCTGCTTTTCCTCAGCGGTTACATCATCCATGCTTAGAATGTGTCTTATTAAGCATTATGTATATGTAATGCAGCAAGGGTTTCCCCCTGAAAATCGGTTATGAAATGGATGCTGTGTCTTGTAATTAACAATGTCTTAACCCATAGGAGCCATGAGCATGAGGCTGCATCAGTTTTATTCAAGAAAGTGTATCCGGTGCCTCAGCAAGCTCCCTCCCTGGGCCTGGCACATTAGCAAACCTAAGCCAGCAGTGTGTAAAGTGATCATCCATCTTGACCAAGCCGTGTTTAACTCAGGGATCCAAGCAAGCTATTACTTTAGATAATATATAAGCTTAATTTGTAATACTTACAGACTTTTAAAAAAAGTACAGTTATTGCAATAGAGAAGGAAAAGTCTTTGATAATTGTCGACATCATATAATGCTAACCTTTCACTAAATTAAAAATAGGAAGAATTTTCCTCACCTGAATTGAGGGTCTGTACTGCAAGCCTTCAACAATGGTCATTCTTAGTAAACAATTATGAAATGTTACCTTTAAAATCAGAGATAAAATAAGGATGCCAGCTATCACCAACTCCACTCAATGTGCTGCTTAAAGTCCTACCTGGTGTATTCAGTCAAGAGAAGAAAGAAAAGATTTACGGGCTAATAAGGAAAAGAATTTTTAAACATACCGTCGGAATCTGCAGACAATGTGATTATCTACATAAAAAACCTAGCAGAATGCACAAATATTTATATTTCACAAGCGCTAAGCAAGGTTGCATAATCAAAATCAAGATCACAGTACAGAAGTCAACTGCATTTTTACTCACCAGCAAAATACAGGTAGAAAATACCACTTTCAAAGAAACCATTTGCAATAGCAGCAGCAACAACAAAATCATTAATTTGTGTGGTGATTGTTGATGTTCACTAAATATTTCCAGTTCTTTTGCCAAGCACACAGGGGATCACATGGGCCTTCCCCACTGAATTTAGTGTGGCCCCATGAGCAGAAGGGGTGCGTATTAAGAGGCAGTGAGCGGTTCTCAGCCTCCCGCTGCAGTGGCAGCAGGTTTGACGTGGGGCTGCCCCATCAGCCCCGGTCCTGGCTGGAGCAGCGTCACCAGGCAGCCTGTGTATTCAGAAGCAAAGATGCGTAGTGGGCATTTGTTGCTTGAGGTCACTGAGACTTGGCATTGTTTGTTACTGCAGTGAAATCTACCCTTATCCTCACTAGTCTAGAAATAGAAGAAAGATGCTAGGGTAAAAAATAATCCTCAAATACCTGGCATTGTCTTAGTAGTGAGTTGAAGACCGGCAACTGTTACTGAAGGCTGAGAAGATGCCATCTACATCGTGCTGAAGAAAGCATTTGGTGAAGGTCCTTCTGGAGGAGCCAGAGAGTCAGGTCACGTGTGTGTTATGTGTGTTGCTACCAGGTATTGGTTGGTGCACTGGTCTCCTAGCACTGTTGTAGCAAAAGTACCATACACTGGCTGGCTCCGAGAACAGACATGTATTCTCTCATAGTTCAGGAGGCCAGGGGTCCAAAATCAAGGTGTGGCCAGCAGCCCGCCCTGCCACAGAAGGACCTGGGGGAGCCCTTCTGTGTTTCTTCCTAGCTTCTGGAGGCTCCCAGAGGGACCTGGCCTCTCTCGGCTTGTGGCAGCCCCACTCCGGTCTCTGCCTCCTTCTTTACAAGGCCTTCTCCCTGTGAGTCCGTGCCTGTATCTTCATGTGGCATCTTCCCAGAGAGTCTCTGCGTCTCTTCTAATAAGAACTCCAGTGACTGGGTTTAGGCCCACCCTAATCCCATGTGGCTCATTTGGACTTGATTACATCTGCAAAGGTACTATTTCCAAAAAAAATCCCATTCGCGGATACTGGGAATTAGGGCTCGGTCATATCTTTTTGGGGACACAGTTCTAGCCACAGCAGTTGGCAGTGTCTGTACAACAAAGTATTACAAGAAAGGGATAAGCTTGTCAGTGGCAGGCAGGACTCAGAGGGGCAGAGAGCCCTCAAATTCAGGGACTCGTAGGATTGGAACAGACAGTTGCTTCTCCCTTGATAGCGTAAAAAGTAAACTTGGAAATGCTTTGAACTGCCACGACTGTTTGGATCTCAGCCTTTCAGGCAAGGCTGGTCAAGTGCTTGGTCCCTAGACTCATTGTTAACATCTCTTAATAGACTAGCACATGAGGGAACCCCAAAGGCTGCCTTGGTTAGAGACTCCTTTAGCAAGGACTAAGTGGCTCCCGGAAGAGGGCAAGGGTTTCAGCCTCCCAGCAGAGCCCATGATACCAATAGACAGGTCAGTCCTATCTGCTGAGGGCCACAGGAGTAAGGAAGCCAGGGAACGTGGCAAGTCTACTAGGAAGACCTACAGAGTCGCTGAGCATGCAGCTCTTGATGTGTGTGCTGTGTGGAACCAAACAGAGAAGCAGCTCACTAAGCTCTTGAAGACTTTACTGCCAAAGAACCACACACTGTGGCTAAGAGAGACTAAGATTTTAGGGAATGAAAGTGACCCTTGGCATCCACCATCTGTAAACAAGAAGGGGTCTGGGAGGGAGTGCATCTGATGCCCACAGTGAATGTGGCCATGGAGGCGAATGGAAAAGGGATGTGTTTGTTAGGCCACTCTTGCATGGCTATGAAGGAGGACCTGAGAATGAGTAATTGATAAAGAAAAGAGATTTAATTGGCTCACTGTTGGGCAGGCTGTGCACGCATGATGCCTGCATCTATTTGGTTTCTGGGAAGGCCTCAGGGAGCTACCAATCATGGCAGAAAGCAAAGTAGGAGCAGGTGCTTCATATGGCAGGAGTGGGAGCAAGAGAGGGAAGGGGGAGGTGCCACACACTTTAAACAGCCAGATCTCACGTGAACTCAGTCATCACCAAGGGAATGGTGCCAAGCCGTTCATCAGGGATCCACCCCATCGCCTCCGGCCAGGCCTCACCTCCAACACTGGTGATTACATTTCAACATGAGATTGAGAGGGGACAAATGTCCAAACCATGCCAAAGAAGAACCACCCAAGAGGAGGGGCCCAGTGCCTTGAAGGGCGACAAGCAGCAAGCCACCCCCAGGAGCAGGACCAGGACCTCATCAAGAGACAGCCCGGAGCGGGTCCACACCACATCTGCCTGGTTATTGTAGACCAGTGACTGTGGCCCGGCCTGTCCTCCTTGCTCCGAGTGGGGCCATTCATCATGGTTGCCTATATGGCCAACTGGATGTTAGGGGCACACATCCTACACTTGCTGGGTCACAGATCCCCGGGCTCTGAGGGGCTTGATCTGGGCCTGATGAAGAAGCTACCGGGCATTGCTCAAAGATCCTGGACTCAGCCCTGGATGCAGAGACAGGACACCACCCTGGGATATGGGGCTGGGCTGCACAGAGGAAGGGAGGGGACCCAGTGCTTGCTGGCCAGAAGTGTGGATCGCTAGGGCTTAGTGCTGCCAACCGAAACACCTCCCCTCTCCACACACACTGGCAGAGCAGGGGTAGCCCCGGGACGGGCGTCAGCCCAGGAAATGTGAGTGGAAGTGCATGTGTCACCTCCAGGCGGAAGTCTGAAGGCTCCTTTCCTTCTGGATAAAATTGCGACTAGCAATTGAGATGGTGTCTTCTCTGTCACTGTGGGTCACAAACTGAGTGGAGCCCACAGTTAAAGCAAGAGATAAACTTTTATCATTTTAAGAACTGAGCTCTGACACAGCAGTTACTACGGTGTGACTTAGCCTGGATTAAATAGCACAGTTCTCGGGAATAAACCGACAAGCAATGCGCGGCTACGGCAGAAAACTGCAGCACTCTGTTCAGTGACATTAAGAAAACCTAAATAAACATCCACCATTTGAAGACTCAGTATCACAATGGTGTCAGTGACGTCACTTGGCTCTATAGATGTAATGCATTTCTAATGAATACCTCAACACAGACATTTGAGGAGACTGACCAGGAGCAGGAAGAACCTAGATGTTTCTAAACAAGAAACATAATGGTGAGGGCTTGGAACAGCCCAGCCACACATCAAGACTTAGGTATTAGTCATGGTGCAATCAGAACCTCCGTGAATATTGTGAGATGAGGAATTTATTCAGTCAGTAAGACCGTGCACTTGTGGGGGAAACGGAGGCATTTGGGTTCAGAGCAGAAGCTGTAGATTCAGAGGAAAGTCACCAGTCAGCACCGCGGCAGCACCGGAGCAGGTGTGGAGGTCAGAGCTGGGAGGGGCTGGAAGCTGGAGCCACCAGCTGCAGAGCTGCACACCGAGGATTGCTGGGGGGCTCATGGGAGGTGAGGGTGCCTCGAGATCGTTCCCGGAGGTCCCAGCGCAGCGTCCGGTTGCCAGCCTGGGGCTGCTGTCAGCAGGGCCGACCCTGAGGAAGAGGACGCTGGGCAGAGCCGACACCTGAGGGTCTGTCCGGCACCACACCTGGCCAGTGGGCCTGTGGGGTGTCGGCCACTGCTCTGCCTTCCTAGTTCACCGCGACCTTGTACGGGGTGGGGGTTCTGGGAAATGCAGCCCCAGCTTAGCAGCCCCACCAATCAAATGCAGTGCAACAACCCCCAACTCAGTACGAAGTTAGAGTAGTTAAGACGGTGGGACACTTATGCACAGGGAGAAAAAGACAAAAGGGTGCAAACCCAGAAAGAGACCTGTGGACCTCAGGAGGATCACGAGAGAAAGAGGCCCTATTCAACAAAAGGTCAATACCTCGAGAAATAGAATTTCTCTCCATGTAAAAAAACAGAAGAAAGTAAAAACCTCACACCATAAACAAGAGTTTATTCCAGAGGGATGGAAGGTTCAGGTGTCAAAGGCCAAACTCTACAATCTAAGGTTTCCTAAACAAAACACTGAAAGTACTAACCATAAAAGAAAAGATTAATAAAATCAACTACATTTAATTTAACAAATTTCTTTTTTTGTCAAAAGTTACCAAAAGAGGGTAAAAGGACAAGCCAGAAATTGGGAAAAGATATTTGCAACACAACCAACCAGCAAAAGATTATCTATCTAAAAGGTGTAAAGAAGCCTTAACAAATCAATAAGAAAGAGACCAAATGGTTATAAAATGAGCAAAATATACAGACGGCCAATTCACAAAGAAGCAAATCCAAATGGCATAAAAACAATGAAAGGACCCTTAAATTGACTGAGATCTTTGAAAAGCAAATCAAGGCAAGCATGAGATACCATTTCACACAGGCAAAACCCACAGAGGCTGACAATATCCCATGCTGGCAAGGGCATGGAGCAGGTGGGTGGTCTCACGCCCTGCTCCTGGGTGTGCAAATTGGTACAGCCACTTTGGAGAAGATTTTAGAATTAAGTATGTGTACCCCTGACAACGTAGCAATTTCTAAATGTATGCCCTTGAGAAGTTCTCATACATACGCACCAAGAAACATTTACAAGGATGTTCACAAAACTGTACGTATGTGTGAGCCACTGGAAAGCTGTGAATTCCCCTGAAGGGTGGGAGGTGGAGGTGGCAACACGTTCTGCAGCGGAACTGCATTCGGCAAATGCAGGAGAGCTTTGTGCACCATTACAATCTCGGGAATGTTTCTGAGTAAAAGAAAGTGACTTGCAGAGGCATATGTAGAGTAGGATTTGTTATCCAGGGATAAGTGTGTGGTCTAAATCCTGTATATACCTGTATATATATGTACCTGTATGTTAGTTATTGTAAAGCCAGTGATTGCTCTTGAGATTAAAAATGATTTTAAAAGCTTGGAACAATGGTTATTGCTGGCAGCAGTGACAGCAGGATAGGCACATCTGGGAAAGGACAACCGCAGAGTGCTCCGTATTGGAAACGCCCAGCACCCAGATTAGGGTGCAGATTCTCAACTGCTCATCTTATTATTACGTCATGACTTACACGCAGGGCACACACACTTTTCGGATAACAGTCTTTTTAGATGCGTGGTCTGAGCCTGCTAAAGGTGAACACAGCCTGTCCTGAGGTTTCCCTCTTCCTCCGGCGTCTGCCTCCTCTGGCTGAGCAGGAATGCCATCTCTGCGACTCTCACCCGCTGGCACGGCACTTCTCCTCCCCTGGGCTTTGAGGAGCAGCACTGGCTCATCTTCCCACAAGAGGTGTCCCAGCATCTGAGGACAATGATATTCTCTTCTCATGGAACCCAGTCTCTTCCGCTGCCTTTCACCCGAGGCAATGCCATGTCTTCTCGGTGTCTTGATCGTCTTTCTCTGAACTTGCTTGGAGTTGTCTGCATTCCTCTCCAGGTGCCACCCACGATGGAAGGCGACATTGCTGGTGAAGTCTGACTCCTTGAGAGTGGCGTGGGTCCTTCACCTCCTCCCAGCAGGGCGTTTCGGACAATACAGCCTAGGATTCTATGGATCATGGGTAAGTCATCCTGTTGGCTTATCTTAAGTAGATTGACGATTGAAACCTAAAGGCGTTTTTACAAGTGTTGGTGCGAAGACTCCCCAGTCAGGATGTATGTGGTTGGGTTTTGCATCCTAGATCTCATATTCACACCTAATACATTTTATCTTTAAAACTTTAAAACTTCCATTCCTCCAGACAGCAGGAACTCTGGGGACACAATTCTGCTCTTCACAGTAGCTCCTGTCCCAGCTTTAAGCCATTATTTTATTTGGCTGATGTTTCACGCGCAGTGAGGTATTCACATGGTGCAGTAATCCCCACGTCGTCCCGGTTGACACCCAGCATCTTAATGGCTGGCCGTCTTCATCCACCCTCTGTCCTTCTAAAATGAAGCTGCAGATACTATCTTCTGGCCTCAGACACAGCAGTCAAATGTTTACGTGCTCTCCAACTGGTTTGTGTGTTTGTATCTAGTTCAGCATTTCCAAGTTTCTGGGGAACATCATGAGATACCACCAACAAAAGATTTTGTGGTCAAATTAATGGGGAACGTTCAGACTATGTCTCCTTAAACGCTCTGTATTAATGTGTAAAAGGTCTCCGAGAACCTCTGCATTTAAACAACAATAACAAAAACCCACACAAAGAAAATTGTCCTCTGTAATCTGTGTGACCCAGCATTTCCAATTTCATCTGATGACGTTTGGAAAACAGAACTCATGCCCTCTGCCCTTTGGAGCATGTTCTTCTGCAGCTAGACCTGCCTTTCATGTTCTGTAATTCTAGAGGGAGTGTCTCATGTCTGGCTGTTTCCTCTCCCAGCAACTGAATCTAGGTTCTGAATGAGCAGATCCTGTCAATCTAGGTTGCACGCATTTCTCACTGTGTAACGTCAATTACCCTAGTCCTTGTTACTTGAAGATTGTGAAGGGAAGTAAATACTGTCACACATAAAATGATTACTTATGGACTGACCACTTACAAAAGTGTGGTCCACTCAAATGCCCTTCCCCCTGGACAGCAGTAGCTCTCGGCTGTCACTGTCACAACCACACGGCCTTTGGTCAGGGTTGCTTAGACACAAGCGAATACAAAGCACGTTGGTAGAAGGAAGGTGGAAATTGTGAAGCAGGCAGAGAATTTTGGGGTTGATGACGCTTGTAGAGTTATTGGCCAGAAGTGATCTGGTCAGAGGTGAACTGATTAGCAAAAATTGGTCACGCAGGTAGACCCAGGAGTTGCGAAAGGAAATGACGTGAACTCAGGAGTAGGGGGAGCCCTCGGGAAAGCTCACGGAGCCCTTGAACTTCTGCAGGAGCAATGCTCCTTTCCAGCCGGAGGCCAAAGTCACATGTCAAGGGCATTCTAGGTGGCTGCTGTCTAATCTTGTCAGAGAAAAATTCACCCAGAAAGATATGTATATATGATTGATTCTTTTGGTCTAACAATGAAAACATAGTTATGTTTATTACATGTTTCGTTAAAATACAATAAAACAAACCACTTACCATACAACTATGTTTCCTTTCATTAAGCTAAAAATTTCAAGTAAGGCGTTTTGGCTGTGAAGTTCTGGCCTTGATTTTAGGAGGATTCTGCAACTGTTCCAGGGTGGAGATGCTCATGGTTCTTCCTCAGCAATGGGGCCGCCTCTGTGAGGAAGCTCACACGTGACGGGTCTGAGCAGGGAGGTGCAAGGGCAGCCTGAGGCGGCAGACGGCAGCACTGGCTCTCCCCACAAAACACCGGTAGTGACCGTCGCCCTGGTGTCCAGCCGAGCCTGGCCCTCTCTGGAGTCCTTCCTGGTCGCCTTTGCACGGTGCAGAGGTTGACACTCAAAGTTTCAGGACTTCACTGCTTTGAGGCAGCTGCAGGATGCTGCGGTCTTTGCCCCTGTCTCGGGGGCGCCAAGTCTGCAGGGCTGCTGGGGACAGCTTTCCTCTAAGGTCCGTATCAATGGCAAATGGTTTTTTTTTTTTTTTACCTCATTTTGAGGGAGAAGGCACTTTCTGCTTAGAGTAGCATAAAACCAGCTCCCTCCAAGGCAGAAGCCCAGGCCTGGTGGCACCTCCTGTGGGACCTGGATCATCATCCTGAAAGAACAATCCCAAATGCTGTAATCCCGGAAAATCAAAATCCTTAAAATCTAAATCCCCACAGTCTAAAATCCTGACATTTAAAATCCTGAAACCACAGTCGCAGGACAGTTGCATCATGTCAGGTGGGACGATGACCTTGTTACGGTCTTCACTGGAAATTAAGCATGGTTTAAGGAGATGCATTTGGCGGAAATTCAGATGAGTGATGGGCCCTGCCATACAGCACTGACAGAATCCTTGGTTTAAAAATTCGTCACGTGCCTGCAGTGACATTCCTTCTGGCTGATGACGTGCCAGGAGATGTTAATGAATTAAAGCCACACTTGCCTGAAGAAGCTGGCGAAGTTACCGACTGGTTCAAAAATAATTATGTGCACTGTAGGATAAGAAGACACCTACACAGGCCGGGTGCCGTGGCTCACGCCTGTAATCCCAGCACTTTGGGAGGCCGAGGCAGGCGGATCATGAGGTCAGGAGATCCAGACCACCCTGGCTAACACAATGAAACCCCGTCTCTACTAAAAATACAAAAAAATTAGCCGGGTGTGGTAGCGGGCGCCTGTAGTCCCAGCTACTCGGGAGACTGAGGCAGGAGAATGGCATGAACCCGGGAGGCGGAGCTTGCAGTGAGCCGAGATTGTGCCACTGCACTCCAGCCTGGGCGACAGAGCAAGACTGCGTCTCAAAAGAAAAAAAAAAAGAAAACAAAAAAAAGAAGACACCTACACAACGGTTTTGCCGTTCTGTCGCCAGCGCGGTTCCCACCAATCCACGGTCTGCGTATGAAAGCATCCAGATGGATTTCCTCATACCTAAAACAATGTGGACGCATGGCACAGAAGATGTGAAGGTTGAAGAGGGCTCATGCAGCTGTGTGTTGAATCACAGAAGAATTCCAGAAGAGCAGAGCCACATGGAAATGAATGTGAACGTATCCTCCGAGGAGAACCATGTCCTGAAAGAAAAAAAAGCAGCAATTCATCACCACGCAGAATTCAAAACGTAGTTAATGATCGTGAAAGCCGGCCAGCTCTTACGGACTCCGACCTGTGTGCAATCGCCAATAGTCCATCCCTGTGATATGATTTTCCATAGGTTGAATTTTCTTTTTAGTTTCTCCCACCATTTTAAATTGTCAGCATTATTTCTTACAATTTGCCATGCTGTGTATTTCACCTTCACATCACTTCAATACCGGAGGTGTAAATTGTGTGGAGACTTTTAGAAAGTTTTGTTTTATGCATCTTTTGCAAATTTGACTCCACGAAAGTGCGTGATCATAACCTTGAATTTGTGTGTAAGCATTGTGTGTCTGTGTGTGTGTGTCTGTGTGTGTGTGTGTACACAGAAACACTGAAACTTCCTCCGTAAATGAAGAGATGTCCTTTTTGTGCATCTGTGTTTGTGAAGGATAAAGTTTCTCGAGATCTCAGCTCCTTGGGTGACCGCATGTGTGGAGATGACCCATCTCGTTTTTTATGGGTCTTGTCAAAGGCTGAGGCTCTTGGCCACAGTATTTCAGGTGACTGGAGGATAAAGCTGGGTGCACATAGTGACCAATGACAGTGACGTTGTTTACACATTTCCCTTTTACACCTATTTTTTCATGAATCCGGTTCGTCTGCTCATAGCTGTTGTACTCAGGCAACAGTCCTTAGATACCTGAGCGTTTGTGCTCGCAAAAATATGCATGTTCTTAGGGGCCGTTTCATTGCATCAAGTGTTCTGTCATGTTTTATAAATCCCCTTTTAAAATGTAATAAGTATTGTCTTAAATAATTTAAAATGATTTTTTCCAGAAGTACCTTGTTGAGATTTTGATCTTCCGGGATGTCAACATTCGGGATTATGGAGTTCGGGATTGTGTCATTGGGATCACGATCGACCCCCTTCCTGGGAAATGGTTTAAGCTCCCTCCGCAAACCCTCGGAAGTCACCGTTGAGTCATTCCCTCCTGATACAGTGTGGTGACCATGCCGTTGTTGGTTGTATTCTTATCACGAGGGCCCTGTGTGACCCCACGGAGCAGCCTGTGCTGTGTGAATCGAGGCCGGCTGTGCAGCTCTAGCTTCTATGTTAAATGCTTTCAGATGCCACTGGCGTTTCACTCACAGTCCTAGGATCCATAGGGATAGGGTGAGGCAAGATGCTGTGAGCGCATCTGGGTCAGACCAAAGGGGCAGGAGGAGGAGAGGAGTGAGGAGGGTTTGGATGGACAGCAGCACCTGAGCTTAGTTTAGGGCCTGTGAGCTTCCGTGAGTGGAGAAGGACAATGCGCTGACACTGACACAGACTCAGAAGTCACTAAAGCATCTAGAACTCAACTTCTTCTCCCCAAGTAAGGCCCCAACCCAGGCACCTTCTCAAATCATATTTCATGTGTCCTCACTTCTGCCAGTTCCTATTTAAGGCAATTATGGCTTTAGCAAAGGACTCTGATGATACTACGCAAAGGGCGTGTGTCCCTTGTTTGTAGTGGGAACGGCCAGACAGGATCATCCATGGTCTGTATTTCAGCCGCCCAGTGCTGGCTTATGGGTGCAGATGACTGACACGTCAGGGTAGATGTCACCAAGATAACCATGCGTTATTCTGCTGGCCATGGTGGGGTTGACTTGGGCCCTCATCAACACATCCTGGCCTTTTCATGTGACATTCAATTATTTCAGAGGGCAGTGTGTCTGGAAAATTGCTTACATTGTTCAAGCACCAGGCAGGCAGAGTCCTCTTGGCTAGTGATTAGGGGAGAGCTGTGCATTCAGGATCAAAGACTGTGGGGGAGGTACATATGTAACCAGCAGAGATGTATCACCATGATAGTGGGATGCTGCATGCCGTGGGGTCAGGGAGACTTCCTGGCTGTGACAGTGATGAAGTGACTCTTGTCATTCTCCTGGGCACTTCCCTCCAGGCCATCCCAACACGGCCATGCCTGGGTCCCCAGCCATGCCTCACACGCATCTGGCTGCAAATCTGGCCTTCTCCAAGGGCGCTTTCTTCCCTCTCAATGAAGACTGAGTAGGAGGGAGCAAGTAAGAGTCCTGCACATGCTGTATACACAGGACAATGGCTACCCACGCATGAGCATTGCTGGTCTATCAAGGACGTACCCAGCAATTACCGTTGATGAAATTCCACTTTAGTGATGATCTCAGGGACAAATGTTTCCTCCAAAAACATACAAAATGATTTTGGATCTGCCATTTGCAATCTAACCCCATGAGTCCCTGGGGCCACATCGGTTGGAGTTCGCCTGGGTGCTGCACAGCCTGAGCCACTGCCCAAGGGCCTCGCCTCGTGCGTCTTATTGGCTTCCAGTACAGGGCCAAGCCATGGTAAGTTTTCAGGAACAGTTTGTTGATTGATTTTTAAATCTTTTTCCAGGGTGGTAGATCAATGAATGGAACACAGTGTTTCCAAATGCTCATGTGACTTATGACCAGAGGACACCAGTCAGCACCTTTGAGCAGTCGCCGTGTGCCAGGTGCTGTGCTGAGCACTTTGTGTCCAAGATCATGTTAAATCCTCACAACAACCATGAGGGGCAGACTCTGTGATTTTCGTCATTTCTCAAAGAAGGAAATTGAGACCTTAAAAGACATAACTGTGTGACACCACACGCAAACATATTTAGGTCTGGTTTGGAAGATTGTGTGCTAATTCTCACATTCTTCTGCCATATGCAGCCACACATGAAATGTACAAATGCTCCAGAGCTCAGGCCTTGGTGACAGGAGCGCCCCTGCAGGTGGGGAGCACTTGGCATTCTAGCGACGGCTCATTTATTAATGATGAACTATCCTGGGAGGTGGGTAATGAGGTCACCACACTGTAAATGAGGACCCTGGAGGGAAGTGAAGTCTTCCAGGTCGTGTGGTCTGGTGACTGGGAGGGCTTGTCCTTGTGTGCCGAGTCGAGTGTCTTTTTATGACTCCTTCGTTATACATCAGAATTGGAAGCAGCAACTTTGTGTTAAGAGAACATGTCGCAGCCAGGGCTTATAAATGAATGGGCTTGGGCAGGGTGTGGTGGTACATGCCTGTAATCCCAGCGCTTTGGGAGGCAGAGGCAGGCAGATCTCTTGAGTCCAGGAGTTCAATACCAGCCGGGCAACATGGCGAAACCCCAGTACTACTACACAAATGCAAACAAACAAACAAAAAAAAAAAGCCAAGTGTGGTGGCGAGTGCCTTTAGTCCCAACTGCTTGAAAGGCGGAGATGGGAGAATCACTTGACCTTGGTAAGTTGAGGCTATAGTGAGCTGTGATCTTGCCACTGCACTCCAGCCTGGGTGACAGAGTGAGACCCTGTATAGTATAAAATAAAAAATAAAAATAAATAAATAAATAAATAAATGTGCGTTATGAGTATAAGACAAAACCATACACACACACACACAAACACATGTATACGCAACACACATACAGACACATAAAGAACACACACAACACATACATGCATATACACATGCATATAAACACATATAAGCATACATACATACACAGAAAAACACACCCATAAGACGCATAACAGTGGAATCTTAAGAAGATGCTAGCCTTGGCACACAGACTCGGTCTCCCAGAAGCACACACACATACACACACATATACGCATATCCCAGAAGCACACACACATACACACACATATACGCATATGCACACATATATGTACATGCATAAACATGCACACACACACACACACATATACACAAATACACCCCCTCCAGCAATGTTCCATGAAAGTGGCAAGTTGGGTGCTAATGAGCAGTGACCTGTCAACAGACACAAAGTGTTTGAATTAGAGAAGTGAAAAAAACAGAATTACATAGCACGCTAAATGTTTAAAAAAAACACTGAGTAACATTTTTTTACATTGGCAAAATTTGATCTTTGTTTTTAACAAGTCATAGAGAAGTTTTATTTATTTTCCTTCAGAACAATGGCCAGAGCGTTGGTGGTGTCGGACACCCATTAAACAGAGTGAGACTCCAAGTTAACACAGAGAAGAACAAAATCGCCTTTATTTTTACCCACGGAAGGAAGAGTGAGGGTTTCAAGTCATATTAGAAGTGCTCTTTGGAGACCCAGCATGGTGGCTCACGCCTGTATTCCCAGCACTTTGGGAGGCCAAGGTGGGTGGATAACCTGAGGTCAGGAGTTCGAGACCAGCCTGGCCACCATAGTGAAACCCCATCTCTACTAAAAGTATAAAAATTAGCCCGGCGTAGTGGTGGGAGCCTGTAATTGCAGCTACTCGGGAGGCTGAGACATGAGAAATGCTTGAACCTGGAAGGCAGAGGTTGCAGTGAGCAGAGTTCACACCACTGTACTCTAGCCTGGGTGACGGAGCGAGACTCCATCCCAAAAAAAAAAAAAAAAAAAAAAAAAAAAAGTGATCTTTGGGTGTAAAACTGATTAGCATGAGGTGGGCAGAGCCAGACTGAGAGCTGAAGTTTCCATGACTCCAGAGTTCTCTTTAGGAAAAAGAAAGCAAAGTGAGACCCAAGTGGGTATGAAAATGGCATTTGTTTAGAGCGAGAAAAGACATCATAGCAATTTATAAATTTTGAAACACTGATAAATACCTAAGACACCATGAAATCAGGGGGATGGTATGAAGTGTCTGACCCGCTCTAACACCCTTTCCCCACTGTTTGGCTGAAGACCCTGATATTTCCTACAGGGAGAAAAATACAAATTAGCCTACTCCTTCTGGTGGATCAGAATTTGTGTTTAATGATTGATCCTTTAGAAAACTTTCTTTTAGTTTTACAACCAGCTCTTGGAACATCTCCTAAATTTTTTAAAGATTGTTAGCAAATTTGGGGAGAACCTCTGTCGAGTTTCTTTCCTGTAAAGAGCTGTAAGTTTTCAGGAAATTTAAAATGTTCCCATTCTGTGAGGAATCCCAATTATTCCTTCAGTTGCCGACTCTCATCACCAATCTGCCATCAATGCATCTCGGAATTTATCGTGGCCCTCACAGAATATCCTGCCAATCTAAGTGGTGTGAATCTTCGAAGCCATGTCACCATGGCTGGGCCCCAGATGTGCCAGCAGCCCTGTGGTCCTCACCTGGCACGGGGAAGTGGCATGGGGGTGGGGGACTGGGTGGGAAGAAACAGACCCTATCCATTACGGCTGCCACACTTTTGTGCCTTGTGGAATCCCATGGGGCTGTGTGCACACGGCCTCGGCCCGATGGACGCGTGGGCTCAAGCTTCCTTAGCTTCCTGCAAATCCGCCCCAGCTTCGGTGACACCAAGCCCACCACGTCCTCTGGGCGGTGTGGCTACTGTGCCCCACTCCCCAGAGTCTCCTCTTGTCTCAGCCCTGATCCTGGCAGTGTTTCCCACGACTTCCTTTGATGTGGAGTCTTTTATTTGGTTCACACATGCAGTCCCATACTGGTAATGTGTCCAGAATTGGTGGGTTCTTGGTCTCACTGACTTCAAGAATGAAGCCGCGGACCCTTGTGGTGAGTGTTACAGCTCTTAGGGTGGCGCGTCTGGAGTCTGTCCCTTCTGATGTTCAGATGTGTTCGGAGTTTCTTCCTTCTGGTGGGTTCATGGTCTCACTGGCTCAGGAGTGAAGCTGCAGACCTTCGCGGTGAGTGTTACAGCTCTTAAGGCAGCGTGTCTGGAGTTGTTCGTTGCTCCCGGTGGGCTCTTGGTCTCGCTGGGCTCAGGAGTGAAGCTGCAGATCTTCGCGGTGAGTCTTACAGCTCATAAAAGCAGCGTGGACCCAAAGAGTGAGCAGTAGCAAGATTTATTGCAAAGAGCGAAAGAACAACGCTTCCACAAAGTGGAAGAGGACCCGAGCGGGTTGCCAATGCTGGCTCGGGCAGCCTGCTTTTTATTCTCTTATCTGGCCCCACCCACATCCTACTGATTCGTAGAGCCCAGTGGCCTGTTTTGTCAGGGTGCTGATTGGTGCGTTTACAATCCCTGAGCTAGACACAAAGGTTCTCCACGTCCCCATCAGATTAGTTAGATACAGAGTTTGGACACACAGGTTCTCCAAGGCCCCACCAGAGCAGCTAGATACAGAGTGTCGATTGGTGCACTCACAAACCTTGAGCTAAACACAGGGTGCTGATTGGTGTATTTACAATCCCTGAGCTACATATAAAGACTCTCCACGTCCCCACCAGACTCAGGAGCCCAGCTGGCTTCACCTAGTGGATCCCACACCGAGGCTGCAGGTGGAGCTGCCTGCCAGTCCTGCGCCGTGCGCTCGCATTCCTCAGCCCTTGGGTGGTCGTTGGGACTGGGTGCCGTGGAGCAGGGGGTAGTGCTCGTCGGGGAGGCTCGGGCTGCACAGGAGCCCATGGAGTGGGTGGGAGGCTCAGGCATGGCGGGCTGCAGGTCCCGAGCCCTGCCCCGCGGGAAGGCAGCTAAGGCCTGACGAGAAATCGAGCGCAGCGCCGGTGGGCTGGCACTGCTGGGGGACCCAGTACACCCTCCGCAGCCACTGGCCCGGGTGCTAAGTCCCTCATTGCCCGGGGCCAGCAGGGCTGACTGGCTGCTCCGAGTGCGGGGCCCGCCAAGCCCACGCCCACCCGGAACTCCAGCTGGCCCGCAAGCGCCGCACGCAGCCCTGGTTCCCGCTCGCGCCTCTCCCTCCACACCTCCCTGCAAGCTGAGGGAGTGGGCTCCTGCCTTGGCCAGCCCAGAAAGGGGCTCCCACAGTGCCGTGGGGGGCTGAAGGGCTCCTCAAATGCCACAAAGTGGGAGCCCAGGCAGGGGAGGTGCCGAGAGCAAGCGAGGGCTCTGAGGACTGCCAGCACGCTGTCACCTCTCAGTAAGAAGAATGACACAGAAGTTGGAGAACGGAATGTAGGGAAAGGGTTATCTTCCTCTCCCATGCTCATTTTAGAAGATGGAGGACAAAGGAGAGAGGAAAGAACACAGGTTGTCGGGTAAAGTGTGCTGTACCCTGTCCCTCTGTCTCTTGTCAGAGAATTTAGGGCTCATAAAATGCCTTGGATTTCAAAGAGCATTGGCTCTAAAGGTAAATTTACCTGTTGCTTTTCTGTAAAATGCCAGGTGGTTTTCTACTGCTAACTAGTGAACAAGCATAAGGTCATGATCCCTCATGACTGCAAATGCAGCTAAAGGGAACCGCTCCATCAATGAGAAAGACAGGAACATCCACGGAGCGTCATCAGACGGCGTTTTCTAGCGAGGCACACGTCACAAGTTCAGAGAGCGTCTTCTACCTAGTCCCTGAACCAAGACAGGAACATCCACAGAGCGTCATCAGACGGCGTGCTCTAGCGAGGCACATGTCACAAGTTCAGAGAGCATCTTCTACCTAGTCCCTGAACGCTGCACAAGGAAGGAAGATTCGTTTTGCAGGAGCAGTGCAAAAGCAAAAAGCAACAAAAGGAAGCCCAATTCTGACGCAGGTTGTTTGATGTGCATGAAGGGGGCAGACGGAAATACAGCAAGTTCTCTTCCACGTTAGCTCCCCTCACATTGGCCCTGGTGCCGTCTTCATGCCTGCTGCAAGCTGAGTGAGGCAGGCCTGCTGTCCTCCCTGGGGCGAGCTTCTCCACTGATTTTCCTTATACCTGGGACCCAAAAATAGATTCCAAAACCTACCAGACATTTTATTGGAGCATAAACAGTGCAAAATAACAGAATTCCACCCTATAGAAAACAGCAGCTGGGGGCCTCACAGGCCAGGCATCTACAATGATGGGATTGCTGACCCTACGTTATCTGCCACGCTTGCAACTTCTCTGGCCAAGCAAGTCTCGGGAGCTGCGAAACAGATGAGGGCAGGAAGGCCAAACCGTCTGCTGGTTTTCCCGCTGACTTCCAGGGTGGTTTCAATCAACGTGCAGGTGCGGCGTTGAGAATGACAGCTCGTCGGCCTGTACGCCTCTCAATAATGAGATTACATCTCATGACAGTGGTGAATTTGACTTTGACATTATGGAATATGAAGCAACCACTGTAACAGGAATTGTTTTTTAAAAAGAAAGAGATGCAAAAAGTAATGGTCATTTATATTAATTTCACCACAGAAATGGTGGCTTGGTATAAGAAAAATTGCATCAAAATTATAATTCTAAGCATAAAACAATGATTAGTATTGCAGTCATTGGAGAAGAAGGCATGCAAAAAAAAATACCACGAACATTTCAGGAGACTATTTTCCTCATATGAAGCTTATTCTTATAATATTACTGCATTTCAAAAAATACAATTTTAGAAAAAAAAATGAACTATAGCTCTTTGCAGTGATAGGCGACAGGTCAGAAAAGCATTTCAGAATAATTTTACACCTTTTAACCTTAAAAAATACTTTGCTGACAATTGAGAAAGGGCCTTAAAAGAAGCTCTGATAGGCATTCTCACAGCGGGGTTGCCTGTCCCATCACAGGGCTGGCGTCTGCATAATGCACCCCATAATAAGACGTGCGCTGCAGATCACAAGGCGGAGGAGAGGCTTTAAGAGTCAGCCTTGGCAAGAGCCGCTATTAGTCATGACACTGAAAGTTTGTTGCATAAAACTCTTGGGAAGACATAAAGGAGGTAAACTGTTTAAAATTTTGATTTGAGCTGGGAAAGAACGACTTTGTCACAGGATTTTTGTCTGCATTTAAATATAGATTTAGCATTTCTGGTTTTCATTTCTGCTCATGCTTGGACAGTCTGGTTAAATGGAAACTCCACACTGCTTTGCTAAATGAATGGCACTGTCCTCGGATTCTATTGCTCAAAGCGGTAATTGTTAGAAAACTGTGGTAACAATTACTGGTGATAATTACGAATGCTAATAACGATGGCTGGTAGTTATATGTTTCCCAGTTGCAAATCCCGGTCAAATTTAGGGGAAACTCAGCAATATTTCGTCGTAACAAAAACAAAAAAACCATCCATCAAGGAATGATACACCCTGAAGTCATCTTTTAATGCCATTATAAAAGGGATGGATTCTGAGTCAGGTGAAACTTGCCTCCTGGAACTGTAGCGGGAAAAGAGAGGAAAGAGGAAGACAATAGGATTTCTTGTGACTTTCAACAAAAATCTCACTAAACACAAGAGAGGCGAAAGGAGATGGGAAAGACTTGCTTCTAAGCAAGTTTTCTTTTCCTTACCTAGAGACCAAATTCATGATGTTTTTAGTTGTCCTGGGGATTGCTTTCAGCTGTGCTTTGTTTAAGACGGACACTGTTCCTGTCTCAGGTGAGGTCACTTTAATTAGAACAGCGCTGACCTCGGGACTGGATTTGACTAGCTACTCAAACACAGTGCCTTTTATTGTTTTAGAGATATTCAGAGATGAAAGAAGTAATTGGCTGTCGGGTCTGGATCCTACTTGAATCACGCTTTAGTAGGATGCAGAGAAGTTGCAGCTAATTCTTTCTTTTTGTCTTTCTTTCTTTCTTTCTTTCTTTCTTTCTTTCTTTCTTTCTTTCTTTCTTTTTCTTTCTCTCTCTCTCTCTTTCTTTCTTTCTTCTCTTTCCCTCTCTCCCTCCCTCCCTTCCTTCCTTCCTCTCCTCTCCTCTCTCTTTTTTCTTTCTATCATCCTTTATCCTTCTTATTTTTAACTTTTCCAGTTTGGGTGACAGTTTCTCTTTCAAGTCATACAAAAGACTTTCCACATTTTCTTATTCTGGCTCCATGTGGCCACTCTCTGAGCAGTCGTCCTTGGGAACATGAAGTGAACTTGGTGCCTCTCGGGAAAGGACTTTCTCCTGCTCCGCTGTCTGTGAAGATGATGGAGGTGCCAGGGCCTGGCTGGCAACATCCATGTCCCATGAGGCGTTTGCTCCAGAACGAGCACTTTGCTTCTCTTTGGCAACTAGTTCAATTAACAGAGGGTTCTGTAAATTTTAAACGGAGAAACAGGGACCCAGCAGGGTGAAAAGGAATCCACTTTTGGTGGGAGAAGACAGTGCTGCTATGGGGTTGCCCTGAATGGGTTGAGGGGTTTGCCCACACCACTGGCAGAGGAGGGCCTCTGAACTTTGTGTTGTTCTGCTGCCAAGAGAAGGAAACTGGTGAAGAAGATCTGCGATTTTACAAAATGATAGGTTATTGTTCTTTGTTATTTATGTTCTATTTAGTAAGTTGTTTTATATGCTGTTCTATAGATTCAGGCAGTTTTCAATGCCTAAAATGGCTCTATCCCACCCCTGAAATATATATTTTGCATATGATTTCATTTTTTATTCTCAAAGTTCAAATTCTACATGTTTTGGTCAAACGTGGAGACGTGAATTTGACTTGTGGCGTTGACTATTGAGAAATAGTCAACTAAGTGACTGGAAATAGCAATTTTTAACCACTTCGTGGAGGCTGTGTGAATGTCACCCTAATCAGATGAAGCGCTGACTGACAAGATTTATGACAGTCACAAAAAAGTCCTGGCATCTCAGCTTTCCACAGTGTGCGGACCACGGTGGTTACCGTGGTAATTAGTATTTTCCAGAAAAATTCATCAATTTTCCTCATATTGTCAGGGAGCCCCAGATACCCATGCATATGTGCAAACACACACTAACATGCACGTGCATGCATAGCAACACACCTGCACCACACGTGCACACATGCAAACACACAAACACATATATGCATGCATAGCAACACACACATGCACACACACTTGCACACGTGCAGACACAAACACATGCATACCAACACACATGCACCCACACGTGCACACATGCAAACACACACAAACACACATGTGCATGCATATCAACACACATGCACACACATGCACACATTCAGACACAAACAAGTGCATGAATACCAACACACACATGCACCCACATGTGCACACATGCAAACACGCACTTGCACGCATATCAGCACATGTGTGTACACATGTGTGCACACCTGCAAACACACGTGTGCAAGACACCCTGATAGGAAACCCTCTATGACCTGCCGGGGTCTCCAGCTCAGCTTTCCCTCTTGGAGCAGGTCGGGAGCAGCACACTCACTCACACTTGCTGGAGTGGAGAAACTGCAGCTGCATGCACCAGGTCATTCTTTGCTAATATCTTTATTTTCCAGAGAAATGAAAATGATGCATTACACTTAGTATCTATTCTCTGAGAATTCGCAGATACTGAACATGCCAGTTTGCTCTGACAGCAGTCTAATCTCATGAATAGTCTCCGTGTTGTTAGTGAAGACACGAAAGGAAAATCACTGGGGATCAGTCTTTTCTCAGGGCTAAGCTCCGTGCACGGGCCAATGACCAGAGAAAGAAGGGGCACCTCCAGTTTGTCAGTTCTTCTCCTATTTGCCCTCCATTTCTAATGTCAAACTCACCCCGTCACTTTCTGACACCTCTCACCATGTCAGAAGTAGAGAGAGAATTGGCCGGACTTGTTTCTTAGTAGAAAGTGCAGGATTTGGGGTGCTCATACATGTTTATGAATCATTTTTATTTGCTAACAGCATATAATTTTGACAGAATCACTTGGATGAACAATTAGCTTCAGGAGGCGAAGCTCTGACAAGGGCCCATAGGTCAATGGTTGGTCGTGCACCCTCATTGTGGGTATTTTCAATGCTCTCCCTGCTCTGTGGCCTCGCCCCTCCTCTTCCCCGTCTAATGCCTGGGGACTTGAGGGAGCTCAAAAGTGACATAAGCATGAGTAACTTTCTTTATGTACTTTTCTGTATTTTTCCCAATATTTTAAAGGATATCCATTACTTTTCTCTCCCAGTAATTTTAATGTAAAAAAATAACACAATTAAAAAAACCCAGATTTTTCTCCTACAATCGTTTGTCTCTCCTGCCACTGTGGACCAGACGCTCTCAGTGCGGCCAGCGAGGCCGTGGGTTCAGCAGGAACTTCCCTGCTTGCATTTTCTCTTTCCAGAAATGTCTCCTGCTCCTTTCACGCCATGTGTTTTCTCAGCCCGTTGCCTCGGCTTGTACCATCCTCTTCCACCTGGAATCCTGTCCTCCACCTGACCAACTCTGCAGAGACTTCAGGACCCAGCTGAGAACGGTTCCTCCAGGTCCTGGGGTCCTCCACTCCCTCATCCCCCGGCCCACAATCCCCTGGGCACCCACACTGGGACGCTGATTCCATCTCGAAGGCACTGTGGTGTCAGCTGTGAAGGCTTGCATTCCCTGACACCCGGGAAGGGGCCTCGTTCTCCCCCAGCAGGGCCCTAGAAATAAGCGGATTCATCACCTTAGCCTCAGCGTGAGCTTCGAAGCACACGCTCTGAACAGAACCTCCTGGACACAATGCGTGGGGGAGGCCCATCGCCCGGCCAAGGCGTCCTTGAGACCCCAGGAGGGAGTCAGATTCCTGCTCCGAAGGGCCTGCAGGCCCTGGAGCACCCGGACCTCGGCTCCTGACAGCAAGCAGTGGATGTACCCGTGCAGGGGATCCGCTGCCATTCCAAGGATCCCGCTGGCGTGCCACTCGGTTTTTCTCTGCAGATAACCTGGAAACTGGGAGATTTGTACAGATTTGAATGTTGACTTCATCAGCCCCGCCTCTCAAAAACTGCATGTACTTGAAATAAGAGTGAAAAACAATGGCATTGGAAGCCAGACTCCAGAAATCAACCAGAACGGACCTGTTAATGGGTTCTGGTGGCGGTGGAGATGAGAACATGCCTTTTTTTCTTTGAACATTGCAATAGGAGAAATGACACATGGGTAAGGAGCTCTTTTTCTCCCGCTCCTGAAAGGAACAAGGCCCACCTGACACTGGTCACTGGTGTTTCCCTATTCACAAAACGGGGATGGAAAAATCAGCCCCACCAGAGAAGAGCTAGGGTGCCTTGAGACTCCACAGTCAGACACCCAGCAAGGTACAGAGAAGGCAGGAGAGGAGCACAGCTCAGTGCTTCCTGCTCAGCCCTCTCCATCTCCCTCCCCACTCCAGCCCTCACCATCTCCCTCCCTGCCCCCCTTCAGCTCTCTCCATTTTCCTCCTCTCCAACCCTGACCATCTCCCTCCCTCCTCCCTTCCAGCCCTCCCCATCTCCCTCCCCACTCCAGCCCTCACCATCTCCCTTCTCCCCTCCAGCCCTCCCCATCTCCCTCCCTCCTCCAGTCCCCCCCACTTCCCTCCTCTCCAGCCCTGACCATCTCCCTCCCTCCCCCCTTCAGCCCTCTCCATCTCCCTCCTCTCCAGCCCTGACCATCTCCCTCCCTCCCCCCTTCAGCCCTCTCCATCTCCCTCCTCTCCAGCCCTGACCATCTCCCTCCCTCCCCCCTTCAGCCCTCTCCATCTCCCTCCTCTCCAGCCCTGACCATCTCCCTCCCTCCCCCCTTCAGCCCTCTCCATCTCCCTCCTCTCCAGCCCTGACCATCTCCCTCCCTCCCCCCTTCAGCCCTCTCCATCTCCCTCCTCTCCAGCCCTGACCATCTCCCTTCGCCCCTCCAGCCCTCACCATAACCCACCTCTCCTCCAGCCCTCCCCATCTCCCTCCTCCCCTCCAGGCCTCCCCATCTCCCTCCTCTCTTCATCTCTTCCCATGTCCCTCCTCCCCTCCAGCCCTCACCATCTCTCTCCCCGCCCCCAGTTCTCACCATCTCCCTCCTCCCCTCCAGGTCTCCCCATCTCCCTCCTCCCTTCCAGCCCTCACCATCTCCCTCCTCCCCTCCAGCTCTCACCATCTCTCTCCCTCCTCCAGCCCTCACCATCTCTCTCCCTCCTCCAGCCCTCACCATCCCCCTCCTCCCCTCCAGCCCTCACCATCCCCCTCCTCCCCTCCAGCCTTCGCCTTTCCCTTCCTTCCTCTCCTTCAGGATCTGCTGGAACACTGGGCAGGCCAAAAGACAGCTGTATGTAATGGAGAGGTAAGTGTGTATCTCAGGTATCTGAAACCCCCATTGGTAATTGAGTGAAACAGTTCCTTTGAGCTCTGTGCACAGTGCCCTTGGTCCTGTTTCTGGGCTCTCTGATGGCCTCCTACAGGCCTCAGCTCTGCAGAACTTGATTTTATCTTTTACTTTATTTGTGCAGCTGACTCAGGAACAATGCAATTAAGTTAAACTCTGTGGACATTGGAGAATCTTCTGCACAGAGGGGTTTAAACGGAGTGCTGGTGAAGGTGAGGACTGGGGTTATATGTCTACATGTTTGGATCAGGTGTGTATTTGGGGAAGGAGCTCAGACCACAGGTGCCTGAGTCAGCCCACCAGGGCTAAGTCCCAGCTCTGCCACTGAGTCCGTGAGCCCATGGGCCCATCTCCCTGTGGAGCTAAGGAAGGCACACCTGTGCCCATCTTTTCATGGGAGCTCAGAAATACCCCGCGGAAGTGCGGAGGTTGCATCCAGAATGTGACAGTGTGGGCGCACGCAGGGCATGAGCCTGGACCCCACCTCGCCCTCGTCTGCACGGGGAAAGGAGGCATGGAGAAAGCAATGGCAGGGCCTGCGAGGAGAGCCTGATGGAACCCAGCCCCGCCATCGCAGTGGCCCTGAAGCCCCTGGCTGGCTGTGGCCAGGCAAGGAAGGCAGGAGCGGCGGTCTTTCGTCCTGCTCTGTGGTCTTTGGGGCCGAATGCAGTCTGTGGCACATGTGGGGCGAGGCAATGGATGATGTGCCATGAGGGAGGCTCCGTCTAGGACATTCCCATCAGACACAGTGGGTGGTGGCAGCCGCAGGGCCCGGCAGGACTGAGGTCATTGTTGGCAGGTGCCCCACACCTGCAGGGGGCAGTGACTGACATGAGGCAGGAGCGCCTTATGTCAACCTTGATGGCGTCATTCATTTGAGATCAAATTCCAGTTAATGCTATTATATTTACACACATCGCACACTGCTGTTGAGGGATGTGTGGGCACATTTCCCTTGTGCTATCCAGGAAGGGCTAATGATTGGAAGGAAAACGTCAGCCCTTCTCAAGCAGCAAAATAACAGCACCTTCTGTTTCCCCTGAATCCACATGAGTGTGGTGCTGTGAAAGAGGTCGCTGGCTGGTGTTGAGGGTGCCTCCGTGCCAGGGAGCACTCAAAGCTACAGACATTCACCTGCGAATGGTCATGGACCTGACCGGCTGTTTTCTCTGCATTTCTCCCCTGGCTAAAGATGTGTTGCTGGGTAAAGTGATTCTCAGACTTGACCTCCTGCTGCCCTGCTCCCACCCTGGAATGGAGCAGGTGCCAGGTGGACATGGCTGCAGGTGCTGTGGGAGGTGAGTCGTGCAGCCACAGGGGAAAACGTTTCAGGATCCAGTGTCCGTCCTTCAAAGTTGCTTCTAACAAGGAAACCGCTGCCTAATCACCGGCACCTGTCAAATTGGAATCTCAGGTATGAAAATTTCCCAAGGACCCACCTAATCCAGGTTCCTTTCCCTAAAGCAAATAGGGGGGCAAATATAGTCAAAGCCTCACACCATTCCCTTAAGTTTTTTAAACCAAGACTCCTCTAATCAGCTCAATATAAAAAGAATGATTTTCAGAAAACTTCCTATTAATTCAAAAGTCAGAGCAGGTAGATCCCCAGTGACTGGCACGAATTAGCTGTCCGTTAACCATTATAGAAATGCAACTGAAAATCATGATTAAAAAGGGGGATTGTGTCACTTAACTCAATGTCCACCAGTTATATCTATGTTGCAAAAAAATAGGATTTCATCCTTTTTTATGGCTGAATAGTATTCCACTGGGTATACAGACCACATGTTTTTTGTTCATTCATCTGTTGCATGGTAGGGTGACTATAGTTAATAATATTGTGTTGTACGTTTCAAAATAACTAGAAGAGAGGATTTTGGATATTCACGCCACAAAGATATAATAAATGTTTGAGATGATGCATAAGCTAATTATCCTGACTGATCATTACACAACGTTTGCATGGATTGAAGCATCACACTGTACCCCATAAATAAGTACAATGATTATGTGTCAATTAAAAATAAAATAGAGCTTAAAGAAGAAGAGGGCTGGAGCGCAGTGGTGTGCACAGGTGGTCTGCCTGGGCCATAGTGCTGATGGCATTCCCCGGGCCCTCCCAGACTCTGAGAGTGAATGCCGGCTCATTGGATCTGCAGCCAACACACCGTGGCCCTCACTGATTTTTGTTGCAACACCCATTCAGTCACTGAAGCATTCACTCATTCATTGATTCAAGTAGCCATCGTGTATATTAAACTTCCCTTTTTTGTGCAAGTTCAATTTGACTTCTGGCCTCTAGACTAGACCATTGCTCAGCAGCCTGGAGACCCTGTTCCATTCTTTGGAAACGTTTAATGAACATTTATTTAACAAATATTTGATGAAACCATACCAAGATCTCATTTTTCATCTATCAGATACAAATTTAAACACATGAAACATATTCTGTTTGCTCACACATTGCTTATGGCGAAATGGCACAACCACTGTGGAGTGAATGAGGCAGGTTCTTGGAAAATCCCATGCCCTGTTTCTAAGAATCTGTTTCGAAGATAGACTGGCAAAAATAAAAGTGCCATAGGCATGGCTTATTTGTCACACTATCTGTAACAGCAAAACACTAAAAGCAGAACAAAAAGCCAAAACAAAGAACCCACACCTGTAAACCACCCTCATATCCATCAGGAGGGGATGTGTGAAGATGCTGTATTTATTCACACATTGGACACAGCGGAGGATGCCCAATCTGCTGCCATTTACACGAGAGGGGAGGCAGCTACGCAGACCAATGCAGATATATTTGTTTTATACTAAAAACCCAGTGAAAGAATTAAACCATAACGTAGAATTTCAAGGTGATTACTTACAGGGGGTGGTGGAAATAGGGTAGAGAGGTCGAAAGCAGAGGCTGGACTTCTCTCAGAACACCCTGCTGTGTAGACAGTGCTGGGAAGGGGCGAGGTTTCCGGAGGCCCCACTCATTCTCAGGCCAGCAGGGACACAGCCTGCGAGCCCAGCCGCGCCTCCTTAAATCAAAAACCAAATCCATTATTTGACCTTGGAACTATGTAAAGATTGTGCATAATTATCAAACATGATTAAGTTTTAAAAGTCCTAAAAATCAAAAGCAAAATGAAACAGATGAGCATGTGTATGTATTGAGTTAGTCACCACCACACACAGAGAGAAGGCCTTTTCCAGTGACTTTAACAGTCAGTAATTTAACTGTGGCATCCCTACTGGGATACATTCTAAGGACAAAAAGAACTGCAACAGAATCTTAAACAGTGTCTTTAAGTGATCATATTGTTGGTGGTAGTGTAGGTACTACATCTCCGAGGTTCTCTGTGTGTGTGTGTGAATGAGTGTTTTACTTTTAGAGATGCGTACCATAACGTTGATGGATGAAACAATACTGTGTGAGATTTTATTAAAATAACACAGGAGGCTTTGGAGCAGAATTAGGTAGGAGTAGAGTCGAAGGAGGCGGCTATAAGATGGTAATTATGACGCTGGGTGATGAGTATGCGTGAATTTTTTTGTACTTTTCTCTCTACTTTTGGTCACGCCTGCTTTTTCTGTAATAAACATTAAAGACACTTGTTGAGGGTCATCCTGTCCGAGTGCTGGTCTGGGATGCAAGGCTTTTATTTCAACCAGCGTTTCTGACTCTAGACTCTCACACGGCGTAAATATCTCTGCCTCACACCCATGCCCAGGCGTGCTGTCTGCGTGGTGCCTCTGTGTACACTGGGGGTCCCTGCACTCAACCCCACAGGCTCACGCCCACCACTGCCCACCTCAGGCGCCCAAGAACCTGCCCAGATCACCCACTGTAAGCAACAGGAACCGAGCTAGTAGCATCACTTTCTTCCTTATCAAGTAACTAATCACCAGCCGTGGCACTGCTAGGAATTTAGCACAATGTCAAGCCCAGCTGGAGAACTCATCGAGGCGTGGCCCTGACTGTCTCTGCATGAGTAAGCAGTGGCCAGGCTCCTAGACCTTCTCCTAGGCCATCCGTGCGCTTCCTTGTAAAATCCAGTTTTGCCAAAAATCCCTGCAAAGTCAGTTTAGCAAGGACTCCACCCTCGATGTCTGAGATGTCTCCTGGGCCTCCTCTGCCTCCACCATTCCCGGTGATATCAGCACCCCGCCTGCCCCCTGACTGCACCCCAACTGCTCCCCGCCTGCCCCTGACTGCACCCTAACCACCCCCTGCCTGCACCCCACCTGCCCCCTGCCTGCACCCCACCTGCCTACTGCCTGCACCCCATCTGCCCCATGCCTGCACCCCACCTGCCCCCTGCCTGCACCCCGCCTGCCCCCTGCCTGCACCCCACCTGCCCCCTGCCTGCACCCCGCCTGCCCCCTGCCTGCACCCCACCTGCCCCCTGCCTGCACCCCGCCTGCCCCCTGCCTGCACCCCACCTGCCCCATGCCTGCACCCCACCTGCCCCCTGCCTGCACCCTGCCTGCCCCCTGCCTGCACCCCGCCTGCCCCCTGCCTGCCCACTGCCTGCACTCCGCCTGTCCCCCGCCTGCCCCCTGACTGTATCCCAACTGCCCCTGCCTGCACCCCGCCTGCACCTCACCTGCCCCCTGCCTGCACCTCACCTGCACCCCACCCACACCCCGCCTGCCCCCTGCCTGCACCCTGCCTGCCCCCTGCCTGCACCCCACCTGCACCCTGCCTGCCTTCCACAGGAACCCCACTAGGTCTCCTTCATCTCCAACGCTCCCTCTTAGTCATCTTCCAGACGCTGCAGGGGCCCCGGCTCTGGGGTCTTCCCACCGATACTGCTTCTCCCCGTGCCGTTCTTTGGAGCCAGCTTAGTGCGTCCCTGTGTTCTCAGACCAGGGCCTCCTGGGTACATCATTCAGCAACTGGCTCAGTTAAAACAAGAAAGGAGAAGCTGCCATGGGCTCCCTCACTCAGAGCCATCCATTCTCATGCACAGTCGAGACAGGGGATGCCCCCGGGAGCCCGTGGAAGGTGGCAATGCCAGGCCTTGGAGAGGCAGGAGGCCGGACTCGACCCCAGAGGTGGGGACCCGGACTCTGGACTGGACTGAGGTCTGGCTGAAATAGGGAAGAGGCAAGAGCACCTCTCCACGGGACGTGCCCACCCATCCCGTGTCAGTTTACCATCGCCACGGCAACACCAGGACCACTCCCAAGTTACCATTCTTATTCTAGACATTTCTGTGTAATCTGCCCCTAATTTGCAGTCATTAAAAGCCCCACTTTAGGGTCTGTCTGCCCTGCGCCCCCGCGACCCATATGCACTCTGGACCCTGAAATTTACCCAAAGGTAAATGCTTATGATATCAAAACTGGATCTCCTACACCATGTTCTATATTAGGGGGAACCATAGTGAGTAACCACCACATTTTAGAGGAGAGGAAGCAGAGCCTAAATTTAAATAAATTAAGGAGATGTAGGAGGTGCTGTAACAACAAACTGAGTGACTTCCACAGCAGCGTTTGATTCTCTCCCAGCTCCGGAGGTCCCCCAAGTGCAAGACCAGGGTGTGGGCACGACCCGCTCCTGTGGGGCCTCCGAGGGTCTGTCCCAGTCTCTCCCAGCTCCCAGCTCCTCCGAGGGTCTGCCCCAGCCTACCCCAGCTCCCAGCTCCTCCGAGGGTCTGCCCCAGCCTCCCCCAGCTCCCAGCTCCTGTGGGGCCTCCAAGTGTCCACCCCAGCCTCTCCCAGCTCCTGGAGCTGCCTGCTGTCCCTGGTGGTCCCTGGCTCGTAGCTGCACCCCTGCAACCTCTGCCTCCCACATCACATGGTTTTCTCCTCTGTGTCCAATTTCCTCTTTGTATGAATTCACCAGTTATATTGAATTAGGGCCCATCCTACTCCACTATGACCGCATCTCCATGAATCACCTCTGCAGCAATCCTATGCCCAAATACACTTCCCGCCTTATCCCCAGGTTCTGCATTTATGGATTCAACCAGCTGCAGATCGAACATACTAACAACAATAAAAATAATACAGATAAAAAATTAACACAAAGCAACAACTATTGACACATCATGTACACTGTATTAGGTACTGTAAGTATTCCAGAGCTGATTTAAAGCACACAGGAGGAGGCGCACAGGTTATATGGAAAACCATGCCATTCTATACAAGGGCCTTGGGCATCCATGGGTTTACACCTGAGGGGTTCCTTGGACCAGTCTCCTTCGAGTGCCAGGGAAGAACTGTGAAGCCTCATTCTGAGCTGCCTGGGCTCGGACTTCAACTGTGGATTTTAGAGGGACGCAGTCCAGCCTGGGAAAGGAAGTTACAGATGGAGACGCCACCGGGAGGTGGTCGGCGAAGCTGGGATGGGAATTAAGCTGCAGAGTGTAACATTTCTTTGGGTGAGGGCGCCAGACAAGAACCTCTGAATTGGCACGCAGGGCTGTCGGTGTCGGTGAGACTTACACGTTTATAGTGAGAATTCTTCCCAGAAAGGGTGACCAATAACACTGAAAAAAATAACATAACCATGGCTTTCCTTGGAGTATTTAAAAATATTCTTTGTCCATTTACGATGACCCGGAATTTCACACCATCTGCTGGACGTGAAATGAAACCCAGAAAGTGAAAGGGGAAGAGACGACGGTCTGCAGGCTTCAGGGCCCAGCCGTGGGCCCAGGTCCATGTGGCTGCTGCCTTCCCTTTCCGTGCTGTGCGTAGCCTCCTCTTCTCTGACCGCTACCCCGCACCCCCTCTCATTTCCTCCCTACTTTCCATGGGGTCTCACTTTATTTGGATGACTTTCTGGGGAAGTTGGGTGGGTACCCAAAAACAGAGGCATTTTCAGCATGGAAAAAGCCCTTAAAACTAACACTTCAGTTCATTTGAATAAAAAAATCCCCAAAGATATCAAAGGCTCTGAAATGATATCATCTACCTAAATATGACGCTTAGAAAATCTGTGGGGATGATGCCTAGAAGCCCTCTAGAAACGCCGCTGTGGACAAGGGCACCCCAACTGTACTAGTGAAAAGTCAGCACAAAAGTAGATTAACGAGCAAGAGAGTGAGGAATTAATGCCTTTCTTGCTATGTTTCACAGCACACTTAATTGCCCTTCAAATTCTTCCTTCACAGCCATCAGCCTGTAAGCTGGATCTGGGAGGCTTTGTTTCTGGAGACTTCTGCTTTCTTTGGAAGGCAGGCTCAAACCTGATCCTCTATACAACGGTCCCGAGTTAAATCTGGCCAGTCTGAAAAGCCAGCCATGCTGGCGAGTGCATGAAAATCCTGCTTCAAAGGCAGAGAGCCGGGCTCCACGCGACATTCCGCACCTTCCTCAGGGTGGCTTCTCCTTCTCCCTGGCCTCGTACCCTAGAACTTAAAGTATAATAAAAAAATAAAAAATAAAAAAGGAAGAAAACCTGCATCATCAATGAAAGAAACGTCTAGTTTGTCTAATTCTATTGTTTATCTTTATTTTTCTATTTTTCTCTGTCCCTGAATTTTAAAACTTGTTTTCCCGTGTATAGATAGCAGCTCTGAACACTGAAATTCTGAGATTATGTTGAGAAAGACAACCAGTAAAAAAAACCAACAAGAAGCTTCAGTAGCAAAATGTTAAGGGTGCATTTTTCGGTTTCATTCAGTATTTCTAGTCTCTTTAACAGTAAACCTAAGAAATTACCTCCTGCAATAGAAGTAGCATTGATAAAAAAAATAATGTTTGCAACTTCTCCTGAGTTTGAAGAAGTACAAGAAAATTTAATGTGGATGAATACAATTCCTGAATCTTTTTTTAAAAAGGAAAACTGTTCATGATGATATATTTGCAAAACCTTCCAAAAATGAGTTTTGTTAGAGAATAATACACTCCTGTACTCTGTATTTTAAGTTTCATAAAACAAGGCATAAACTTTTAAAGATTATTTTAGAGGTTTTCCGGAAAATATGCGAGATAATTGCCTTTCTCCTACGCAAAACTAAGCTCACTGCCTTGTGCTTTTTGTGACAAATTATAAGTAATAGAACAAAGCCTTCAAAACTGCCATTGTAGCAGAAGAGCGTTTGGAACAAGAACATAGACTATGGGTGGGAATAGTGGTTTTAGTTTTAAAACTATTTACACACAGAAATTTTATTAAAACCTGCTTTTTTCTCATACAAAATAAAAGTGTGAACCGGGAATCTGTCAGGTGCGTCCTGCTCCGCCAGCAGGCATCTGGAAGAAATCACCTCGCCTTTCGTCACTCAATTTCTCTCTAAATTGTACCTGTAAGCAGACTAGAATTATGCTGTTTATTGGCAACACAAAGAGTGCTCGGCGGAAACAGAACTTGCCCGCAGCAGCCACTTTCAGTAAGGAAGCTCGGCGGATCTTCTAACCACTCCTGGTGCAGAGTGCATGTCGATCACCCATTATCTGTCCCACAGACACGGGGGACATGATTATTCTCCTGAGGAACCCAGGGCCATGGCTGCATTCTTATTTTTAAAGTAAAGTGACTTATAGTTAATTTTTTAAAACACCTTTTTATTTTAAGGGGAGAAAAGGACATTTTGCTCTCACAACAGAGAGTGACCTTTTGTTGTCTGAAAGCTCTGTATTAAATCATCTGAAGCTCCTATTTATTTATTAATTTGGGGATTGTCATTGGTACTGTTCTGCCTTGACAAGGATTTTTTTAAATTAGTATTCCAAATAAATGAACACAAACACACGAATTAGTTATTTGAACTTAAAACATGTGTTCTTATGAAGTAGAAACTTCACGAAATAAATTCACACTGTGTTGCAGTTTCTCTTTTCCAAACTTCAGTGTTACCAAATGTTGTTTTCCTCAGGTTATTTTCGGAAACGCTTTTCATTATTCTAGGAAACTTGATGAGCTTGTGTGTTCCGGCACTTCCTCGGGGGATGGTGAGGGCGGCCTCAAGGTGCTTAGAGGATGAGAGAGACCCTCTTCCCTCTGCGGGTGCACTTTCTCAGGTTGGACAGATGGTTCATTCATGGCTTTTAATACTTCCTTGAACTTTCTTTATTGCAAATCAGATGCGACTGCTGAACGAATCTCTACTCCCGCTGGAAGGCTTGGTGCCTCATTCCTTTGAAACAACAGGTCACTTCTCAACTATGATTTGGCTTTAACCTGAAATGATCTTTGTGCATTGTGAAGACTTGCTTCCCGCCGGACTTCCAGCTCTGATTTCCCCTCCTCAGAGCAGGGTTCAGCGCATAGCCACTTTCTTCCCACACACACAAGAAAATGAAACACACTTCTGCGCTCAGGAAAAGCACCCTTCCTGCCCTTGTGTGGACGATTCTGGAGCAGAACCTATTGTCTCGGTTTGCAAAGCACAAAGGAGGTCACCGATGGATCGCATCAGGGTGGAGGTGTGCCCCAGATGAGGTCAGAATATTTGCAGCAGAAGAATGGCAGCTCTCCCTGGCCAGGAGCGGGCCTGCCGCTTCTGTGCTCCTGACTCCTCCCCACATTCTTCTGGTCCGGTTCCCACAGACAGACAGGGCGCGGGAGGTCAGAGTGGACGGAACAAAGGGGACCCCCTGCGGCGAGGCCTTGCTGGGCTGTCAGCACCAGTAATTCATGAGCGCACCTTTCATCTCCATGAGGATCCATGAGGGGTTAAACAGAGACCCATTTTACAGCTGACAAGATTGAAGGGGCTAAGGAGCGGCAGGGAGGCAAAACACCCTAAAATTCATAGTATTCCAACCACCTGCTAAAAATAGATCCGTGCAGGTTCTCCTTTCATTTCTCCCCACATAATGGGATCTGTGTTTCAGAGGCAGCATAATAAACAGGCAATGCACGGTCCGGGGGTATTTACACATTGTGTGGTTAGAGAAGGAGAGAGGAAGAACCGGTGGAAACAGAAAAAAATGATGCAAAACGGCAGCTCCAGCTCCTGGAGGGCACGGGGCTTTGGACAGCTCACCCACAGCTTGGAGGCCAGCTGCGCATCTGAGCCTCGCCACAGCCAAGCAGAAAGGAAGACCTTACAAAGCACGAATGTGGAAATGGAGTGCGCACTGCAACATCTGACAGCGTGCACGTGTGTGCGTGTGTTAGTTGTGTGTGTGCGTGTGCCGTGTCGACAGGAGGAAGAGCAGTACACAGGGAAGGAGCCACATGTGGCTTTTGAGAGATTTCATTTGTAACAGGGCTTCCCCAGCGACTCCTAATGTCTGTTCTGAAACCATCAAATGAATTTAACATACGTTTTAACTGATGAAGGACATGTCTCCAAAATAATTCCATCGAATTTTATTTTAATCAATAGGGCCATCACCTTCTGTGAGGGGGATTTTCTTAGTATTTCTGGGTGGTGTTTTAAAGGAAGTTGAAGAAGGTGGTCTCCCAGTGCAGCAACATTTGTAAAAGGAAGCCACAGGGCATAGTGTGTTCATGTGTGTTTGTGTGTGCACACATGTGTGCCCATTTGTGCATGCATGTGTATGTGTGCACTAGTGCATGCCCATGTGTGTGCTGTGCATATGCAGGTGTGCACTTATGTGTGTGTGTGTGTTGTGCATGCACATATATGTTGCCTTATGGGGCACATGTGATTGCATGCATGCGTGTTTGTGCTTGTGCATATATGTGTGTGCACATGTGTATGTGTGTGTGCTTGTGTTATGCATGCACATGCATGTTGTATGTATGGGCACACATGTGTGTTTGTATATATGTACATGTGCTTGTGTGCATGTATGCATGTGCATATGTGTGCGTGTGCTTATGTACATGTGTCTGTGTTTGTGTGTGTTTTAGCTGTTAGTTTAACCCAGGGCAGGGTGGAGGTCCCCTCACTCACACGTAGATTTGGACTTGCCCTTGGCATGCCCCGCGGGGCTGTGCGGAATCCCAGTCTTTGGTGTGGTGTGTTCAGCAGCTCGTGGGTGCTGCCCGGGGGCATGGTCCCCTAAGGAAAGTGTGCTCAGGGCCTGACAGCTCTGTTGCTCACGGGGGCGTTTGTCCATCACTGACTCCGAATTTGCTGAGTTTTCAGAGCAGCTGCACAGCCCTGGCAGGCACTTCCCCAGTACATCGCGGCTCCCCTGAGCCTCAGGACTTCACTGCACAAAGCCCCTGTTTTCTGCCTGCTACGTCCTCACGTTGGGGACACTGCTGATAAAACGACAGAGGACAAGCATTGTGCTTCCTGTCTTCTTGGCAGAAAGGACTGGACAAGGAGGCCAGCAGGAGGGACCCACTTGCTCTTCCTGCTGGCAGTGATTTCTCTCAAGTGCGTGGATCTTCACCCATTCCGTTCCCAGAGGCCTCTCTGCGATCCCTTCCATGGGAGCCCACTCCTGCTCAGCCTGCATAGCTACTTCCATTTCTTCTGGAAGGCCCCACAGCCTTCGTGAAGCGACATTAGGCACACAGTGGGCTTTTTGGTGTGGATACACAGGCATGTGTTAGGGATGCTTGGTCAGCAGGGAAGCTAAGGAAAAAGTTGAGCAGAGATATTTGGGACGGAAGCTCTAGGATGAATGGCGACCCCCACACCCGGCTCTGCCACGGGGTCCTTGGGGTCAGGTGGGCCCGGCTCCAGCAGGGCAGGCCCCTCGGGTCCTTTGTGCTGCAGCAAAGCTCCCGCCTGCAGTGGAGGCTGTGGGAGGTGGTACCTTCTCCACACCGCCCCACCCCTTTGTCATCCATGGAATCCTCGCTGGTTGCTTAGAGAGGAGGATTTTTAGGGGTGAGTGCCCAGGACTCAGATGTGGGAGCTGCGGAGTGAAGATCAAAGGCACCCCTGTGGTCCGCGTGTCCCGTGTGAGTGGCGGCCAGTGGACAGCCAGCCTGTGAGTGGAAGCCCTGCCTCTGCGTCCCTTCGCAGTTCAGAGTCTCGAGGACCGCCCGAGACCCAGGCTAATGCTGCTGAGGCCAGGGAGCTTTGAGGACAGTGTGTTTCCAGCAGCTCAGCTTTCCCTGTGCCAGGTGGGATGGGGGAATGGAGATGGACGTGCTGGGTGGGCGAGGGGCAGCAATCTGGACAAGCCCCCACTTCACCCTTCAGTGTCCCCTCCAGGAGCCAAGCCAACTGTCACTAAGACGCCACCGCATCACACGCCCAGCTTGCGGAGGTGCCACCTGGCTGCGGATTTGAGCAATGTGACGGTCCTCTGGACACTGGAGCATGGCACACCACGGTGGTCTCCGCTTGCCCTTTCCCCTTCATGCCGACGCAAAGAAACGCATCTCTGCACAGACGCCCCTTCTTAGAAGCATCCAGAGCTCCTGAGCACTGGCTCACGCTCCCCTGGCCTGGCATCTGCAGCTGAGCTCATCCACCAAGACCCTCAGGGACTCATGGTCCCTTTGGGGCAGCCCCTCCCCAGAAGCCTGCCCTGGGTCTCTTTCACGGCGGCTGTCCGGGACACTTCATTGGTGGCAGAGATTCTTAGGAAGAACATTTGTGACCCAACCACCAAATGAGAGGGGTGCTGGCCACTGCAGACCTGGGAGGAAGGGCTCTGGCTTGCAGAGGTGTCTGTGCCAGTTCACCCCTCAGAGGTGAAGAACTTGGTGCCACCCTGCCTTGGCTGAGAGGGCAGAGAAGGGCCTGAATGATGCCACAGGTCTCCAGTGGGGAGATCATCTCCCTTGCCCCGTGTCCCTCTCGTGGGCCCAAACAAATGACAGGCCCAGCTTCCAATGTGCACACAGGCTGTGGGGTGGCCAACTGCCCCGGGATGGCCTCTGTTTCCCCCTCGGTGCGGTGATGGTGGAGAAGGCCTTTCACTTGCGGGCAGAGCATGGGAGTCAGCAGAGGAGACTAACTTTAAAGGCCCCTTGTGTGTTCCCGGCTGTGTGACTGTGGGCAGTCCCTGAGATGGGGGATTTGTTTGTTCATCTGCACAGTGGGACCCGATTGCCAGTGGAAGCCTGGGCAGGCTGTGGGAAGAGCTCAGTACCTGGTGTCCTGGCATCAATGGACATTGGGTGGCATGAGGTGAACGGACAGGCACTGGATCCTTTCCTGTTAACCTCGTTTCAGAGGGAGGATGAAACGGGACCCGGCATGAAGGCCTTGAAGTCGGAAATGGACAAGGAGGGAAACAGCCTGAAGGTAGCTGGAGGCGCTTAATAACGCTGCCCGGGACTGGTCCAGCAGCCATCCTGGGTTGGTGGGCTGTTTAAGATGTGGCCAGGGGACAGAATATTAACACCTCATGTTGGTAAGCACTGGGCGCCTTTGTTTTCTGTGTTTTTAAACCCATGATCATTTTGAAACATAGGCTTAGTGGGCAAGTAGCTTGTCCCTGTTTTACAGATGGGGAAACTGAGGCCCAAGGGACCGTGCTCACTGCTACCAGTTAATGGCAGAATAGAATGAGAGCTGGTTTTCTGCTGTGCAACCTTCAGAGCCAGACTCCTCCATCAAACCTAGGGGAAGACACATTCCCCCGGGATAAAAATCAGTACAATAAGTTTTTATTGTATGATATTTAAGGTGAAATAAAGTTGAAATAATGTTGAAGCAAAATTGAGCATGAGTCAATTCTTTTAATTGAAAGACATTTAAAATACATCACAGTTGTATGGTTCTTTAAGAAACACTGGGATGAATCTTTTGTAAAGTGGCAAACCCTTTTGTCATGCGAACAGTCACTCTTAATGTGTCTCGATGTGTAGATTTCATATTTTCAAATATCGTGTTTCTTGAAGCAGGTCACGCCTTTACGAAGGGTCTGGAAGGGAGAGGATTTGACAGTGGGGCACCTGCATTTACAGGCTTTGCATCAATTACAAATCTTGCAAATAAAATAAATCTCCTTAAAAAATAAGAATAACATTTGTAGCAATTTTTCTCTCCAATTTTCTTTCTTGGCATTTCAGTACGTTTATCGCTTGATCTCTATGAATCATAAATCACCCCATAATCACACAAAATGCCCCCAGGATATGTCTCCCTCAGCACTAACCCTCTCCCTTAATGACAGCAGCCAATTGTTGATTGTTTATTTGATCCAAGAGACACACCTCACCCAAAGGTTTTCAAAGAGCCAAGACGAAGGGCCAGCCTGGAGGTGGCTTCCCGCCCTGGCTCTGGTGGGCACCCTGGAGCTGGCGGCTGTGGTGAGGGCGGAGGCGTGTGTGGGCCCAGTCAGCCCAGCCTGGCCCCGAAACTGTAGGGCCTCAAGTGCGCTGCGGGCTTCTGCTAACTTAAAACAAATATGGTGCTTACTTCCCAGATGACCTTTTACAATGGGATTCGAAAAAGCCAGCGGAGTTTTATTTGAGAATGGTTTTAATCAATTTGGAAATTGATTTTGTTGGTTTGATGTCAAGCTGTCATTTTTCAGAGACCCGAGTCTTATCTATCAGCCTGAGGCTTTGTGGCAAACCCATTCCACAATAAAAGCAGCATTGGCCACCTGAGGAAGTGGGAGGAAGAATTGTGAGGCTTTATCTTCTCCTCTTTTTATGTCGATAAGTAACGTAGGGTCCTAAAGTCCCTCGTGGAGTCTTCGAAACCCAGCTCCTTGTGTTTAAACAAGATCCAGGAGCAGTCCTTAGTGTCCCTCTCCAGTGGTCGCTGCCTCTGCTGCATGAAAGTGACATGATGAGGTCCTAGGATTTCACAGGTAAAGGGAAGTCGGGTCAAACATCCCATTTTACAGGTAGAGAAATTGAGGCCTAGATGGGGAATGACATGAATTTCTAAGCTGCTAAATGATGGAGAAAAGGTTAAACGGCCTCAGACTCCTAGAACTACAGTTATGCCCTCTCCTTCCGGGGCATTCCTGCTGGTGACCTTAGACCTTGGGGAGGCTTGACAACAACCAAGCAGCAATGCCGCCCAGTCACCAGCTGCAGACAGCAATGCCACCCTAGTCACCAGCTCCAGACAGCAATGCCACCCTAGTCACCAGCTCCAGACAGCAATGCCACCCTAGTCACCAGCTCCAGGCAGCAATGCCACCCTAGTCACCAGCTCCAGGCAGCAATGCCACCCTAGTCACCAGCTCCAGGCAGCAATGCCACCCTAGTCACCAGCTCCAGGCAGCAATGCCACCCAGTCACCAGCTCCAGACAGCAATGCCACCCAGTCACCAGCTCCAGACAGCAATGCCACCCAGTCACCAGCTCCAGACAGCAATGCCACCCAGTCACCAGCTCCAGGCAGCAATGCCACCCAGTCACCAGCTCCAGACAGCAATGCCACCCAGTCACCAGCTCCAGGCAGCAATGCCACCCTAGTCACCAGCTCCAGGCAGCAATGCCACCCAGTCACCAGCTCCAGGCAGCAATGCCACCCAGTCATCAGCTCCAGACAGCAATGCCACCCAGTCACCAGCTCCAGACAGCAATGCCACCCAGTCACCAGCTCCAGGCAGCAATGCCACCCAGTCATCAGCTCTGAAGCAGCCCCCCCAGCTACAAACTGTGTCGTTAAACTCTAACTCGTCAGTTCTCTGATGTGACCTGGGTGCCTGGAACTGTAGTATTCATGGTACTATTTACCATATGATACTGGCAGAGGGGTTGATGGACAAGACAGATGGAGCAATGGCTGGGACGGATCGTGGATCTATCACAGTCTCCAACAGGGACACAGTCTCCCGGAGCAGCCATGGGGCGGCTGGGTCTGGGCTGCCCTCCCTGCTTCTTGCCAGTGTGCCCAGGTCCCGCACACCTGGCTGACAGGAGCCATCCTGCTGGCGGAACATGGTGGCCGGGGAGCTGCCCCAGCCTCTGGCAGTATGGGAAGCAGTGGGGGGCTGGCCTGTGCTATAGTCTGAATGTAGGTGCCTCTCAAATACGTACAGTGAAACCTAAGCCCCGTGTGATGTTAACAGGTGGGGCCTTCTGAGAGGAGGCTGAGTGATGCGGGCTCCTCCCTCGTGAACAGGATCCGTGCCTTATAATGGAGGCTGAAGGGCATGCCCAGCCCCTTTTCTTCTCCCACCCCCTCCCTACGTGAGGATGCAGCCCAGAGGTGCCATCTTGGAAGCAGAGGCTGGGTCCTCACCCACCGGCTGGGAACCAGCTGGTGTCTTCATCGTGGACTTTCCGGCCTCCAGAACGATAAGAAATAAATTTCTATTGTTTATAAATTACTAATTCAAAGGCATTTTGTGATAGAAACATGAATAGACTGGGACATCTGGGCTTCCTTTGTCACACCTGGTCAAAGCTGCCTGGTCAAGCTATGAATGCTGTCTCCAGCTCTCCCTTGAATCTGGAGACTGGCCTGTTTTATGTTTTCATCAGCCTCTGCCCGAATCCCTCATGAGACCTCCATCCAGAACCTGTACGGAGAAAGAATGAGGATGCTTTAAGGATCCTGTGTGACTTCTGGTAAAACAAGTGTACTAGTTCACAGTAGGGCTAACAGGTCACTTGATGCTTGGACCTGTGTGGATTCCTGCTGAAGCAAGTGTATAGGTCACATCAGAGCTAACAGGCCACTTGCATGCTTGGATGTCTTCCTCAGAACATCCTTGAATGCTCTTTCAAAAGCATCTCCCCCTACCCCTTTGTCTTTCTCTCTGTCTCTGACTTTGCACGTGAGTGTCCAAGCTCTCTCGGTGAGTAACAATGCCTGGAGATATTTGAGATCAACCATTCGTGCCTTGACCATGCCTGTAGTCAAGGCGGTGGGGCTGTGTGGGGCTGTGTGTGGCTGCATGACATGAGGGAGTTGGGGCTGGGGCTGGGGCTGGGGCTGAGGGCATCGGGCTGCTGGGATCTTGCCTCTAGATCCTGAGCATGCCAATGTCCATTCTTATTCAGCTCGTGTTAGTCAGGTGAGGACTGGGTAGCATCAAGAAAGTGTAGCCTGGAGTTTGAAACAGAACATGATGAAACTCTTCTCCCTGTTAGGATTTTATTTTATTTTATTTTATTTTATTGTACTCGAAGATCTCAAGCCAGGCAGTCACACAGTACGTTGTTCGGTTTATTGACGTTTCCTTCATCAGCACCCTGACAGGAAAAAGATGACTTGATTTCCATTTGTTTTCCTTGCCAAAATAATGAAGACTGTGATGAGTGTTTGTTTAATATGCACCCCCCACTTTTTTTGGAAGAGAAGAGCAAAGAAAGATCAAGAGAGGAGGAGCACCCATTACCTTCATGGAACAGGAGGGGCGCGGGCATAATAGATGCGGCAGCCGTGGGAACAGGAACCAGGGCACCAGGGAACCAGGGGACCAGGGAACCAGGGAACCAGGAAACCAGGGAACCAGGAAACAGTGAAACAGGAAACCAGGGAACCAGAGAACTAGGGGAACCAGGAAACCAGGGCAACAGGGAACCAGGGCACCAGAGAACAAGGGCACCAGGGTATCAGGGAACCAGAGAACCAGGGGAACCAGGAAACCAGGGAACCAGGGAACCAGGGAACCAGGGAACCAGGGAAACAGGGAACCAGGGGAACCAGGAAACCAGGGAACCAGGGAACCAGGAAACAGTGAAACAGGAAACCAGGGAACCAGAGAACTAGGGGAACCAGGAAACCAGGGCAACAGGGAACCAGGGCACCAGAGAACCAGGGCACCAGGGTATCAGGGAACCAGAGAACCAGGGGAACCAGGAAACCAGGGCACCAGGGAACCAGGGAACCAGGGCACCAGGGAACCAGGGGAACCAGGGAACCAGGAAACCAGGGAACCAGGAAACAGTGAAACAGGAAACCAGGGAACCAGAGAACTAGGGGAACCAGGGAACCAGGAAACCAGGGAACCAGGAAACAGTGAAACAGGAAACCAGGGAACCAGGGAACCAGGGGAACCAGGGAACCAGGAAACCAGGGAACCAGGAAACAGTGAAACAGGAAACCAGGGAACCAGAGAACTAGGGGAACCAGGAAACCAGGGCAACAGGGAACCAGGGCACCAGAGAACCAGGGCACCAGGGTATCAGGGAACCAGAGAACCAGGGGAACCAGGAAACCAGGGCACCAGGGAACCAGGGGAACCAGGGGAACCAGGAAACCAGGGGAACCAGGAAACCAGGGGACCCAGGGAACCAGGGAACCAGGAAACCAGGGAACCAGGAAAACAGGGAACCAGGAAAACAGGGACCCAGGAAACCAGGGAACCAGGGGACCAGGGAACCAGGGGACCAGGGAACCGGGAAACAGGGTGCTGAGGAGGCAGGAGCAGGGAGGAGGGAGGGAGGGAGGGAGAGAGGGCGTAAGGGAGGGAGGAGGAAGGAATGAAGAGAGAGAGGAAGGCAGGGAAGAGAGGGAGAGAGGGAGAGAGGGAGACAAGGAAGGAAGAAAGAAAGGAGGGAAGAAAAGTAAAGAAAGAAGGAAGGAAGGTAGGGAAAGAGGGAGGGAGGGAGGAAAGAGGGAAAGAAGGAAGGGATGGAGGGAGGGAGGGAGGAAGGAAAAAAGGAAGGAAGGGAGGAAGGGAGGTGAGGGAGGAGGAAGGAATAAAGAGAAAGGAAGCCAGGGAATGAGGGGAGAGGGAGGGAGGGAGAAAGGAAAGAAGGAAGGAAGAAAGGAAGGAAAAAAGAAGCAAAGGAAAGAGGGAGGGAGAGAGGAAGGAAGGAAGAAAGGAAGGGAGGGAGGGAAGGGAGGAGAGAGGAGGAAGAAATGAAGAGAGAGAGGAAGGCAGGGAAGGAGGGGAGAGAGGGAGGGAGGGAGAAAGGAAGAAAGAAGGAAGGGAAAGAGGGAGGGAGAGAGGAAGGAAGGAAGGGAAGAAGGGAAGGAAGGAAGGAAGGAAGAGGGGAAGGAGGGGGGAGGAGGAAGGAATGAAGAGAGAAAGGAAGGCAGGGAAGGAGGGGAGAGAGGGAGGAAGGGGGAAAGGAAAGAAGGAAGGAAGAAGGAAAGAAGAAAGGAAGGAAAAAAGGAAGGGAAAGAGGAAGGGAAAGAGGAAGGAAGGAAGGAAGGAAGGGCAATTGGTACTAAATTCTTGTAGTGCCCAGGCACTCTTCCCCTAGTGGGCAGGGCAGAGAGACTGTGAAAGGTGGAGATGAAGGAGAGCCATCATTTCACTCTTGAGAAAGGACGGAGCAGGCTGTGTGGAAGAGATGAGATCTGGGATAAATTGGAAAAGGTATCAAAAAATTAGGAGGGAAGAAATATTTTCAGCAAGTCTGCTACCACACTCCTCAAATTCAACTAAGAGTGGTGATTTAATGTAAGATTTATATTTTTATTAACTGGTGCTTTGTTTTCATGTTGATATTAAAAGTGCCTGTCTTCTGCATTACTTTTTATTTTTAGGGAGGAGAAATTTATTTTGCATTTTCCGGGTTCTTGGGAGCTGCTTCAGCACTCTAGAGTCTTTATGGATAAGATCCTGGGTCGCTGGCACCTGAGTGAATTAGTAGTGGGTTCCCTGATCTTCCCTCAGGTCAGAAAAGCTCCGCATCCAGCCCTATTAGCAGGGGCAGAAACAGACGCCAGGAGACACTGCCCACCTCCTGGGAATCGGAATCAGCCTTCACAGCACCAGGAGCCTGGGGTGGGCTGCTGTTTCTGTAAGGTTTTAAAAAGTCAGAGAGCACAGAGTTCTTCCGGAGCCTATTCTGACTCCTCCTGAGTTTTGTTCACGTGAGATAATATCCTCCTGGGAAAAAATCTTGATGGAAAGCCAAGGCCCCCCTGCTGGCTGCAAGAAACCGGAATTCGGCCTTTTCGGCGCGCACCCGGACACGGCGCTGGGATGAAGGCGCCCAGTTCATGCCCAGCCAGGGCCTGCAGGGACAACGGGGTGAGCGCGGAAACGCTGGCATGGGTGTGGGTTTGGGGAGGCGGGAGGAGGCTTACTCCGGGGTTCTCTGTATCTGTGCTGGCCACACAGATGCGCTGTGTCCGCTGAGATGTCGTCTCTCGGACAGCGGTCTGGCGCCGCCGAGCACCAACGAGCCAACGAGGAAGGACACGAGTCTCAGGTGCTTCCTTCCGAGTGTGGGTCGCTTTCTTATTTCGGCCAAAACAGAACTTCACGTTGGAAAATAGCACTAATTCGGGCTGTATCCAACCGGCACGCGCAGCTAGGAAAGGCTTCCTTCCGCGGGGGCTTCACTGGTTTTCCTGATGTGCAAGCCACCTGCAGATGTGTAGAGCCCGGACTCTGTGCGACGTGGGTGTGGGACTCCACGTGTGCCGCGTGACGTCTCCGTGTGGCTCCCTGTGGCTCGTGGGCTGGCGGGGCACTGCTTATCGCCCCTTCTGTTTCACCCTGGGCATCGTTCCTGTCACGAATCTCCCCCTGCCCTTGCTCACCAGACCCCCCGGGGGACTTGGCCACTGTTCCCCGCCGCCGGCTACCTGCAAAGCCTGGGTCGAAGGTGCTATGTCAGCAAGGCTGGGGCTGCGCGCTCAGCTACAAAGCCCTGAACTGGAAACTGGCTGCTCAGGGCGCAGAGGGGGACAGGAAGTGTCCTGCCAGGGGCCCAGGGCTCTGGGCTGTGGCTTCCATCCCATCGCTGTGTTCTTTCCTGCTTAACTTTTGTAGGTCTGAGCCTCAGTTAGTTTATCTACAAAATGAGGAAGGTTAGGTCACATTATCTGCCAGGACTTATGGAGCAATGATGGGTGTGTTTACAATTTTAAAGTTCAAGGTGCCTGGACTTTATTTTCAGTAATTCGATGGATTTGCTTTTCAAAAACAACTAGCTTTGGTACACCACACTTAACATGCCAGATAGATGAAAAGAAAAAAAATTCTTTTACTGAATGGCCGAGTTTGAGGGAAAATAACAGAATTTATCAGAGTCAGAAACACGTTGAGAAAATAAAGGTGCATTTAAACTGGCACTCTTCCCCGAGGTATCTGCTAGCACCCATGGTCCTGGTCATCCGACTTTCAGCGGACCTCACTCTCGAAGGAGACGGAGCCTGAGGCCTGTGCGGGGCGGCCAGGGCACAGTACCCGAATCAGTGGAACAGAAACTTCTGCCCACTGATGGTGGCCTCAGCCTTGGCTCTGAGAGCAGTGCAAGTAAAGTCTTCCCTCAGAATTCCCAGCCATAAGCCTGCGCTCACGGGCTTTGAGGTCCAAATGTACACTAACTATATGATTGTTAAGAAAGACAAAAATTTAACTTGAAGCATCCCAGAATTGATAGTACTCCTGAGTTCTTGGAAGAAACAAAATAAAATCCTCCTTGAAGAAACTCACTTTAAATCCTCAAAGAATTATGAAAGATAAAATACCAAGACACATGGGCTCATAATCAAAACCAAGAAACACACAGGAAATAAGACGTGAGGCAAAAAGTCAACTGCAAAGAACTGAAGATACAGAAAGCATTAGATACAGAACAGAAAAGAAGAATGTTTAACACATTGAAGGAAATACACGAGGATATTAAAAGTCTGAGAAAGCAGCATAAGGTTGTCAAAATTGACCAGGAAGATTTCAAAACCACTCAAAAGCCCTAGAATTTTTTAATATGTATATGAAATTAGACTCAACAGAAAGGGTAAGCAGCACATTTGATACAACTGCAGAGAGAATCAAGGAGCTGGAAGATAAAGTTGAAGAAATTATTCAGAATGCAGTTCTGGAAGAAAAAAGAGAAAAATAGGAAATAAATATTAAGAGGCTTTAAGGATCAAGTGAGGATGATTGCCACATTTATGATGATAATTACAGAATAGTTACGGGAACAAGTGGAGACAGATGGGGAATTTTCCAGAATAGACAAAGTATATCCATCCTAAGAGCTGGGAAGCTCCCCAAATTATGGATTTCTTATAGATATAGAGAATCAAATTTTAAAATTTATCTGGAAATTCAAAGAAAATAGAATGCCCAAATCATGTTTGAAAAAGATGAGTAAAGTTGGAGGAATCACACTACTCAATTTTAAGACATTGTAAAGATGTGGTGATGAAGGAAGTATGCTATCACAGAAAGGATGCCGTCACAGAAAGAATGCCGTCACAGAAAGGATACCGTCACAGAAAGGATACCGTCACAGAAAGGATACCGTCACAGAAAGGGTACCGTCACAGAAAGGGTACCGTCACAGAAAGGATACCGTCACAGAAAGGATGCCGTCACAGAAAGGATGCTATCACCGAAAGGATGCCGTCACAGAAAGGATACTATCACAGAAAGGATGCTATCACCGAAAGGATGCTATCACAGAAAGGATGCTATCACCGAAAGGATATCTATATGTGCTGTCACAGAAAGGATGCCCACCGGAGAGTCTAGAAATAAACTCACACAAACATGACCATTTGGGTTTTTACACTGTTACAAAGGCAATTCAAAGAAGAAAAGATGTCTTTTCGACAAATTGTGTTTGAACAATTGGATAACCATATGCAAAAAGTTAAATAAAAAGAGCTTTGACTTGACACTCACAGCTTATACAAAACGGAAACAGATCTTAGGACTAAATGTAAAACACAAAACTATAAAATGTTTAGAAAAAAGTGTAGAAGAAATTCTTTGTGACCTGGGATTAGTCAAAGAACTGGTAGATATGACTCCAAAAGCATACTTCATCAATCAAATGAAATAATTATTGGACTTAATCAAAAGTAAAATTTTCTCCTTTGCAAGAGACACTGCTGAGTAGACTTAAAAGGTAACCTATAGACTGAGAAAAAATATTTGCAAGTCACATATCCAATGAAAGACTGTTATCCAGAGTCTATAAAGAACTCTGAAAACTCAACAGTAGGAAATAAGCAACCAGTATAAAAGTAGGCAACAGACGTGTCACCAAAGAGAATATGTGGAAAGCACCTTAGCACGTGAAAAGATATTCAGCATCATTAGTCCTTTCGGAGATGCAACTTAAAGCCACTGCGAGATACAACTGCATGCCTATGAGCAGGCCTGCAATAAAACAGGTTCCAAACACTCAGTGCTGGCAAGGATGGGGAGCATCGGGAGCACTGGTGCGTTACGGATGGAAATAAAAAATGCTACAGATGCCCTGAAGACTGGTCCCTCCTGACAAAGTTAGCCACATGACCTGCAAATCAAAAAGAAATAAACACGATAGAAATGGAAAAAAGACATGAACAAGTGTTTCACAGAAGACATGAATAGAAACATGAATAGCAAAAGGAGAAGAAAAGAAAGAAAGAAGATAATCTCTTTAGCAATCAGAAAAATATGAATTAACCTTTCTCCTGTTTACAAAGAAAAAAGTGCAGCTTACTGCCAGCGCTCATTTGCTTTTACATAAACACGCTCTTTGAGGCTGAAGCAAATCTGACTGAGTTTCAATATGAAAATCAAATAGAAAAACTGTTTTTGGAATTATTTCTAAACAAAACTAACATCAGAATAATCTGAATCATGAGAATCATCTATTTCGGAAGACTTGGATTCATCAAACAAATCTTTGGCCAACAACCGTTTAAGAACAGTGTTAACATCACATGTAGGAATGCTACATTTTCTAGGATTTGACATTTTCAGCAATCAAGAATTATTATATTTTGCAAAGGGAAATACCACTACTAAAAACATAATGGTGGCAAAGGTGTCCTGGGGTAAATGCTGCAACCACAAGTACCACCAGCGAGTATTATTGGGGCAAATGGGAAAAGAGAGATAATAATTCATAGGTACCTGATTAACAAAATTAAACAACCTGACAATAAAAAATGTGAGGATACAGAGTAAGTGGAACTCTCACAACCTCATGTCATGAGAATTCAGTAGTAAAAGTCCCTTTTGAAAGCCACTTGGTATTATCCACTCTACTGGGTTGAATAATGTCCCTCCAAAAAATATGTGTGTCTTAATCCCTAGTAACTATGAATGTGACCTTATTCACAAAAGATTCACAAAAGGATCTTTGCGGATGAGTCAAGTTAAAGATCTTGAGATGAAATCTTCCTGGATTTGGAGTCCTGAATCCAATGACCAGTGCCCTTAGGAGGACAGGACACAGTGACACAAGGGAGAAGCCATGTAAAGATGGAGGCAGAGGTTGCAGTGATGCAGCCACCAGCCAAGGGATGCTTGGAGCCACCAAAAGCTGGAAAAGGCAAGGAAGGATTCTCCTCTGGAGCCTTCAGAGGGAGCACAGCTGCTGACAGCTTAATTTCTGACTCTGTATCCAGAACTGAGAAACAACACATTTCTGTTCTTGGAAGCTACTTACTTTGTGACGATTTGTTATGGCTGCCCCCAGGAAACTACACCTCTACTCACGTTGAAGATTTTTGCATTCCTAATAATACAGTGATTCTACTTTTAGGTAAAGTCCCATTTTGAAGAACACTGACTATTTTTTCTTTTCTTTTTTTTTTTTAACTGTGTTCCACTGTGTATTGGCTTTGCTATAAAGAACCATCTGAGACTGGGTAATTTATAAAGAAAAGAGGTTTAATTGGCTCATGGTTCTGTGAGCTGTACAGGCTTCGGCTTCTGGGGAGGCCTCAGGAAACTTATCATCATGGTGGAAGGCAAAGGGGAAGCAGGCATGTCTTCACATGTCTAGCAGCAGAGAGAGAGCAAGTGGGTGGGGAGGTGCTACACCCTTTAAACAAGGAGATCTCAGGAGAACTCACTCACTATCACAAGAACAGCAAGGGGGAAGTCCACCCCATGATCCAGTCACCTCCCACCAGTTCCCTCCTCCAACACTGGGAATTAAATTCAACATGAGATTTGGGTGAGGACACAGATCCAAACCATATCACACCGTAAGAAAACATTTCACATTACAATTCAGTACTGAGATATACACAATGTATTACAAATGCATTGAAGAAAAATTAGAAAACAAATGTCACTCATAATTTTACCATCCAAAGATGACCAGTATTGATGTATTTTCCTATGGTCTTTTGCAGACACGCCCACCTACCCACAGGATGGGTTCCTACATCCCATTCGTGACCTGCCTTTGTCCCCTAATAAATTATCGTAAACATTTTCTTACCAATAACATGTCTATGATTGTATTTCACTGTATGGACATTTTAAAAATTTCTTTCTTCATTTTTGCTCTTAAAAATAACTTTGATAAATATCGCGCCAATATCTTTTTGAGCTTGTCTTTTTATCCTTACCTTTGTTGACAGATGGTCACAGGACGGCTGCCTCAGCTCCAAACAGCAACATCTGAAGGAGAAAGGTAGGAGACAGGTGCAGAAGGAAGCTTTCTCTCTGGGAAGATACTCCTTTTCATCTGGGAAAAATATTTTCCATAGCATCCCCTGGCCAAGTTTCTCCTACACTTTATGGCAAGAGTTGGGCACACAGGCACACACGGCCTAACCTACTGGCATGGAAAGGGAGCCCCATGGCTGTTTCTGAGCAACCACGGTTTATCCCCCGGCTTGAGGCAGGAACTGGCCTCCTCTGAGGTTGGGGACTTTTCAGCCAGTATCTGAGCAAAACTGAGGCTGCACTAGCAGAGAAGACCTGAGAGAAATGGCTGCTGGGCAGGCAACAACACTGTCTGGGTAGTGGTGCATGACCCGGCGGCTTGCAAGCTCCTTCCTCCTCACTTAGTGGTCTTCACTCAAAGGAAAACATCTTTCCAAGTTTAAATTGTATTAAAGGTCTCCTTCCTCTCTCCTAGTCTACAGTAACGCTCTTACCCAATCCATTCCAAGTTTAAATTGTATGAAAGGTCTCCTTCCTCTGTCCTAGTCTATAGCAACACTCTTACCCAATCCATTCCAAGTTTAAATTGTATTAAAGGTCTCCTTCCTCTTTCCTAGTCTACAGTAACGCTCTTACCCAATCCATTCCAAGTTTAAATTGTATTAAAGGTCTCCTTCCTCTCTCCCAGTCTATAGCAACGCTCACACCCAATCCTGAGTCCCAGGTGTTTTACCGTTCTCTGGCATGATCAGCCAGCTGCCTGGTAGCCAGCTGGTTACACTGGACCACTTCCATTGTGGACAGGGCAGTGCTTTATTATTACTGGAATTGACAGTTACTCCAGATACGGATTTGCCTTCCCTGCATGCAATGCTTCTGCCAAAACGGCTATCCGAGGACTTACAGAATGCCTTTCCCACTGTCATGGTATTCTACACAGCATTGCTTTTGACCAAGGAACTCACCTTGTAGGAAAGAAGGGCTGCAATGGGCCCACGCTCACGGATTCCCCAGTCTTACCATGTTCCCACCGTCCTGGAGTGGCTGGCTTCATGGAACAGAGGAATGGCCTTTTGAAGACTCAGTTACCATGCCAGCCAGGTGGCAGCCCCTTGCAGGGCTGGGGCAAGGTTCTTCCCAAGGTGCTTTAAATCTGCATCAGATTTTATGTAGTGCTGTCTCTCCTGGCCGGGATTCACGGGCCCAGGAATCAACAGGGTGGAAATGAGAGTGGCACCACTCAGTGTTACCCCTAGTGACCCACTGGCAACATTTTTGTTTCCTGTCCCCAACACCCCTGCTGGCCAACAGGTGTCAGTTCCCAAGGGAGAAATGCTTCCACCAGGAGACACAGCAGTGATTCCATTGAACTGAAAGTGAGGCCTGCCTTGGACTCCCTGTGCCACAGAACCAGCATGCGAAGATGGGGGTGACTGTACCGGCTGGGGCGACTCTCATGTACAGGCCTCCCTCATTTCTGCTGCAGGACATCCAGGATAAGCCTGGACATCACCCAGACATTCATCTTCTGGGGAAAGGGAGCATGTTTTCAGTTGCGTGCAGCATACTTGTGTTTCGGGCAGCAGTGTGACTTTGCTGCTGTCTTGATCTGGAGACGAGTATAAGACTCAGGCAATGTGGAGGGTGGCAGGTCCAAGAGTAGACTGAGACAGTCAGGCTTGGGAGTCCCCTGGCCAGGCCACCATGCTCGGTTACGCGGTGCTGCCGTGAACGTATTCTGTAAATGAGACGAACACCCCCCATTACCCTGTCGTAGAGGAGATCATCCTGCATAACCTCGTCGGGGTGGGGAGGCTGACTGGTCAGCAGAAAGGCCTGGAGAGGGGAGCCGAGGTCCCCCTGCAGAGGAGGAAACTCCTGGGAAGGGCCTGATCCTGCCTCAGTTTCCAGCTGCCCAGAAAATCAGACTTACCCACTAGGCCCCAAAACTGTGCAGGACGGGTTCTTCACACTCCCCTCCCCTCTCTCTGTCTCCCTTGAGATATATGTGGATATAGACTTGGTTTTATTTCCCTGGGGAAATCTGATCGATACAGGTACTACATTCGGCGTCCAGTCCATGACTCAGGAAGTCAATTCTCCGTCCCTTCGCTCTCCTTCCATCCGAGGCCAAACGCATTCACTTCACGCTCTTGGAATGTTTTCATGTAAAAAGAGTGCCATATCAGGATTAATAGTTTTATGTATATAAACTAGTAATATATAGAGAAAATAACACTTCAGGATCAGATACAGTTGCCTGAACTCTGTGGCTAAGTTAAGCCCCACACTGTATGGCATCTGCCATGCCTCACACCACAGGCCACGTTGGACCCCAGTGCTTTGGTATAGGAGGATGTCCTCTGCCTCCACAGTGAGCCATGGCCCCACCCTAGGTTTCAGAGCAGAGAAATCGCCCTGACAACTAAGCAGCTTCTGACACCCAATTCTGTGGAAGATCCAATCACAGGGATCCTGCCAATTGAGGAATGATGGGAAGTCTCTGCTCCAGGTTACTCGCGCCTGGTACAAAACAGATGCTCAGTAGATGGTGGCCATCACACTAGCAGCAGGTGCTGTAGGGCACCAACACCTCAGAGACAGGGGATGGAAAACATATTATGTATTAAGAGCTCACAGATTTTGCAAGACTCTCCTTACCAAATTTCTACTGAAACTGTCAGCATGACTGTTTTAGACCATTTGTGCTGCTATAACCAAATACTATAGACTGGGTAATTTATACACAGTAGAAACTTATTGTCTTAGCTCTGGAGGCTGGGAAGTCCAAGATCAAGACACCAGCAGGTTCCAAGTCTGTGAGGACATGCTTTTGTGTTTCCAAGATGGTGCCTTCAATGCTGTGTCCTCACATGACCAAAGGGCTGGGTTGGTGGTCCCTCGAAGTTGTCTGTTAAATTTATTTATTTATAGCATCGTGGAGTCACCAAGAGAGTGAGGCTGGAGCTCCACCATCTCTGTGGTTTTGTCGTCACGGGGTACAGCTTTCTCACAGACTGGATCAAAGACTCACCACACTTTAAAAAAAAAAGAGGGAAAGGCAAAAATCAGGCAAAAATTTCAGATACGTTGACACCTGGGGGCTGGAGCAGCTCCACCTACATCCTCCACAGCTGGTGGCCTCAGCTTCTCCTGACAAATGCTTCATTCACTCTAGTGGCTGTGGCCCCCCAGGGCTGCCACATGCCTGAAGCTGAGCCATGGAGAGCCCGTCTCTGCAGCAGAACCCGCAGCAGTGGGCGCAGGGGAGCCAGTGACACTCAGACCTGGGGCCACGCAGGAATGGGCCAAGCTAGCTCCCTCCAGCCCTTTTATAAAGTTACTAGTCCCATTCATGAGGGCAGAACCCGCAGGGCCTACCACCTCCTAAAGGCCCCACCTCTTACTACTGCCGCGCTGGGGATGAAGTTTCAATGTGAATTTTGGAGGAGACACAAACATTCAAACCATAACAGCAGCTTAGAAAGAAATACTACAACTGGACCTCCGTGCTCAAGAACCCAAGGCGCTTCTCATAAGTATTGTCATAATAATGTCCAATACTTGTGTATCTCATAATGGTTTACAAAACCTTTTCACATAGTCTCACTTAATTTTCACAAATACCTAAAATAGAAAATTACACTCCAATTGATTATATTGTTATCCATTTCTGTGGGTCAGGAACAGGGATGGGGTACAGCACAGATGGCTCCACCCTGCTCCCTGAAGTCTGGGCTTCAGCAGGACGACAGGAAGCTTGGGGGCTGGACCCCCCCGAAGGCTCATCCACCCACAGGCCTTGCGGGGGGTGATAGCTGCCAGCTAGGACTGCAGCTGGGGCTGTCACTAGAATGTTACACGTGGCATCCCCCTGTGTCAAGACTTCCTTACAACATGGTGGCTGAGTTCCAAAGGTGAACGTTGGGAGAGACATGGTGAGACAGAGAGACAGAGACCGAGGGTGCGAGGCGGCACTGTGGTCATGGGGAGGGAGAGAAAGAGAGAGTGCACGTGCCAGGCAGGGGTCCACACATTTCATGACCTAGATTGGCAGTCCATTGGTTGGGGCAGTAAGGAGCCCCTCAGTGGGAGGGGAGCCCCTCAGTGGGAGGGGCATTGTGGGAGACCATGCGGTTGGACTAAATATACCAGTGTAGCCATCACTGGAAAATGCAACCTGTCACATGCATAAATTAGGAAAATAAAGCTTTTGATGTTAAGTGACTTGCCAGGGTCACGCGGCTGAGTGTCAGGATGAGACGGGATTTCCGGCACCAAGACGACCGGTTGTCAGGCTATTCCATGTCCACCAGGCATCGCGCCCTCTGAGAGTGGCTGTCGGCCTCCTTTGGGTGTTTCCCTCCTCTGCCCTTCGACACTACGGCCTGCACCCCATCACCCCATCTCCTTCCTCATCATCAGGGGCTGCCTCTATTGTTGAGTTAAAGGTGCGTGAAAGCCAGGTGGGAGCTGTCACCAGCTGCACAGGCTTCTAATGTGCAAGTCTGAAGCAGGACCTAGGAGCCCACCTGGGTGGAGATCCTGGCTGTCACCTTCCGGTTGGATGACATGGGGCATATTTTTTGAGCCCTCGTGGCTCTGGTTCATCACTGAAAACTGGGGAAGATTTCATGAGTTTATTGTGAGAATGAAATGAGTTAATATACGCAGAGTCCTAGGACAGTGCCTGGTGCGTGGTAAGTGGCATTATTATGATTTTATTACCATTAATTATTACACTCTCTCCTTATACATGTTTCGATCAACTCCCAGGGGCTTCCCTCATGTTCCACAAGCTCTGTGTTGTAACTGCTGAACGAGTTTACAGCCACGGACTTTCAGGGACCTCAACAGCCCAAGCAGGCCTCGTTTACCTCAGTATTTTCTCTCTCCGGCGAAAGCCCCGGTGGGCAGTGAGTCTGGTGTGGCACAGCAGGGAGAAAAGAAGCCCACCCACTCCTGCAACAGCAAGGCCAGCGCTGGGGTCTCCGGCCTGAGCCTGGGGGCCTGGGCTTCAGTTGTTTCTGTGACCTGAGTGTGCAGGTCACCTGGGCTCTGTGCTCCGTCTCTGCCTGGCGAGGCTGGCGTGGTCCCGGGCCTGAGTGTCACTGGCTCTCCTGTACCCACTGCTGCTGGTTCTGCTGCAGAGATGGGCTCTCCATGCCTCAGTTTCAGGCACGTGGCAGCCCCCGAGGGCACAGCTGCCGGAGTGAATGAAGCATTTTTCAGGAGAAGCCGAGGCCACCAGCTGTGGAGGGCGTCCCGTGGAGCTGCGCCAGCCCCCAGGAGTCAACTTATCTGAAATTTTTGTCCTTCCCCTTCTCCTTCTCCTTCTTCTTCTTCTTTCTTCTTCCTTTTTTTAAAGTGTGGTGAGTCTTTGATCCACTCTGTGAGAAAGCTGCACTGCGTGACGACAAACCCACAGAGAGAGTGGAGCTCCAGCCTCGCTTTCTTGGTGACTCTGCGATGCTAGAAATAAACAAATTTAACAGACGCCTTCGAGGGGCCACCAACCCAGCCGCACACTGAGTCGGCACGAGTGTGTGCCGGGCAACGCGCTCAGCTCTGCGGGGCTGCGTCACCAGCTGCACTGCGTCTCCCCCACTTTCATACACTGCAGCCCTCACCCCCAGGACCTCCCAATGGGACCGCATTTGGCAGTGGGGTCTTAAAGAGATCGTTGGGTAAAATGAAGCCATAGGGGTTGGCCCTCATCCAGTAGGACCAGTGTCCTTATAGGAAGAGGAGGTTAGGACAGACACACACAGGGACGGCCGGGCGAGGACACAGGCAGAGGGCAGCATCCAGAAGCCCAGGAGAGGAGCCTCCGGAGGAACCAGCCCTACTCACACCTTGGTCTTGGACTTCCGGCCTCCAGAACCACGAAGAAGTAAGCCACCCAGTCTGCGGAATTTTGTTATGGCAGGTTGTAACAAGGCTTTCTGAAAAATACAAGCATTTCAGGCAGAGGCCCTTCACAGCCTGTTACGCAACCACTCAAAGTGCATGCCTTGTCTTTTGCAATTTCCTCAGAATTGGTTATGTCACTGGCACTCACGCCTAGGCCGTCCCGAGGGGCCAGCCCCGGGCACGGTCTCCCTTTCCCTGGGTGTGGGTACTGCCGGTGTGGGAACTGGCTGCTGGCGTGGGAACTGGCTGCTGGTGTGGGAACGGCTGCTTGTCCCAGTGGTGCCCACCTGTGTCCACACTTCAAGGCCACCTGGGCCTGGAGATGTCACTAAGGGTTGACCCGGAGACGCCGACCTCAGGGACCTGGGAGGCTGCACACTGGCCGTGTTTGAAGTGACCCTCATGTCACCCAGGTCAAGTGCCACGGGCCCCACACATCCTCTTCTTCCCTGTCTCCCAGCTGCAGGCCCGGACTGGATGGCTTTGGCTAAGGAACCAACGCAGGTGGAGAAGGAGGCTGACGATGGAGCCCAGGCACTCCAGCCTTGAAGGAGGAGAACCTGACCCTGAGCCTGCATGGCAGCCGTGCGGGGGGACTTCGGGGGGTTTCCCCTTTGCTTCCATCCAAAGAAAGTGCCCCACGTTTGAAAGCCTCTGTGCTGAATGCTCCCAATGCCCTCCGATTCCATCTAGGTCGTCCCTAC